>NC_000012.12:69884370-70035885 GCF_000001405.40 Homo sapiens | reverse complement strand
TAGAAAGGTAGAAATTATTTTTTGGTAATAAAATAATCTGGTTTAGAAACTAGTTTTTATTTTTCAGACTCCAAGTCTAATTTGCCTACTTAGTAGCAGAATTAATTGGTGAGCTATGCTATTTGAAATTAGTGGTCAATTAGTTCATGTGACAGTTATTGAACACTTACTACATACTATATATAAAGGAATGCACTAGATCTATGCAGCGGTAAAAAATAAAATTCCTACAGTGATGAGGCTGATAACATGAATGGATGGATCTGGCTGGCTATAACACAATAGAGAGTGGTGAAGCCTATGATATAATGCATAATATATTCTGTTTATTAATCAATTATAATATTGTTGATTATAACTTTTGAAATTGAGTACTTAATTATTTATTTTCATTCTTTCTTGATACTGTAAACAAGGCATTTAATGTCTTGTTAGCATAAATTTGGCTATATCATTGTAATTTTTTCACATAGTATTTTTCTTTCCTTTTTTCTTTGTCAGTCTAACTAGATCTTTGTCTGCTTTATCTTTCCAAAGAACAAGATTTGTTTCATTATTATTTATTATTTTTCATTATTATTATTTCTTTATTATTTTTCTGTTCTCGGTTTCATTGCTTTCTGTTCTTATTTTTATTATTTCCTTCTTTCTGCTTGCTTTGGGTAAATTTTTTCTCCTAGTTTCTTAAGACGGGATCATAGATTATTGGTGTGAAACCTTCCCTGTTTTCTAATGTAGTCATTTGAGGATGTGAGTTTCTCTTCCATAACTGCTTTAGATGTGTTCCACAAATTGTGATATGTTGTATTTTTGTTTTCATCCAACTCTGTGTATTTTTTGTTTCCCTTGAGACTTACCCTTTGACTCATGAATTATCAAGTGTGTTGTTTTATTTCCACATTTGGAAATTTGCTTATCTTTCTATTATTGATTTAGTTCATAAAGTTTGATTCCATTTAAGAACACATCTTGTATGATTCAATTCTATTATATTTGTTAACTTTTGTTTTATGGCCCAAGGTATGGTCTATCCTGGTGAATGTTTCATGAGCACTTGAAAACAATGCATATTCTATTGTTGTTCAGTGGAGTGTTCTGTAAATGTCAATTAAACAATTAAATTTTCTTAGTCAATGATGCTGTTAAGTTCTTCTATGTCCTTGCTGAATTACTGTATAGCAGTTGTATCAATTGTTGAGAAAGGGGTCTTGGTATCTTCAACTATAATTGTGGATTTATCTATTTCTCTTTTCAGATTGATTAGTTTCTTCTTAATGTGTTTTGAAGCTCTGTTGCTTGGTGCATATATACATAGGCTTGTTATGTCTTCTTGATGGATTGACCCTTTTATCATTATGTCCCTGTTTGTCACTGCTAATTTTATTTTCTCTAAAGTTGACTTTATCTGAACTAATATAGCTCTTCTTGCTTTGTCTAAATTAATATTTACATGGTGTATTTTTCCCATTCTTTTACTTTCAATCTATCTATATCATTATACTTGAAGTGAATTCCTTATATATAGCATATGAGCTGGGTGATAGTTTTTGTTCAGCTGGTTTTTGTCCATTCTATTCTGCCAACCATTGTATTTTAATTGCTATATGTAGGCCAAATAATTACATTTAATGTAATTATTAATTGGTTAGGGCTTAAGTATGTCATTTTATTTTTTGTTTTTTTGTTTGTTCTCTGTTTTTCATTCCTCTGTTTTATGTTTCTTGTCTTACTGCAGGCTACTAGAACTTTTTTTAGAATTCTATTTTGATTTATCTGTAGTTTTAGAGTGTATCTTTTTATATAGATATTTTAAAGGTTGCTCTAGGTATTACATTATACATATGTAACTTATCACAGTCTTTTTGTGTCAACATTTTGCCAGTTTGAGGAAAGTATAGAAACATTACCTTCACTTAGGTTCCTTTACTCTTCCCCCTTTATAATATAATTATTTTAAATATTTCTTTTATATACACTGAGAATCACATCAGGTAATGTTAAAATTTTGCTTCAAGGCTATTCTATTTACCCACATGTTTATACTTTACATTGTTGTTTCTTCATTCTTAATTTTCCCTTCTTTTATCTCCTTTATGTTTGAAAAACTTTTTTTAAATTTAGGGTAGTTCTACTGGGAACAAAAATCTCTTAGTTTTCCTTCACCTGGGAATGTCTTTTGATTTCCTACTTATTTTCCTGAAGGATATTTTCACTTGAAAGAAGATTCTGGGTTAAGAGTTCTTTTCTTTTAACGCTTGAACAATGTGTATCATTTCTTTCTGGCCTTTGTGGTTTCTGACAAGAAACGTACTGTCATTTGAATCCTTGCTCCTCTGCAAGTAGTGCTTCATTTCTCTCCAGCTACTTTCACGGTGTTTTTTTGTTTGGTTGGTTGGTGGTGGTGGTTGTTGTTGTTTGGTCTTCAGTTGTCTAAAGTGTGATTAAAATGTGTCTAGGCATGAACTTTTTGAGAGTTACCACATTTAAGGCTCACTTACCTTATTAAATTTCACCAGATCTGGGGAGCTTTTAGCCATTATTTACTTGAATACATTTTCTTCCCCAGACTCTTTCTCCTCTCTTTCCAGAAATCCAATGTATGAATGTTAAATCCGTCATTACTGTGTTCTAGGTCACTCGTGCTCTGTTCATTTTTTTTTTTCATTCAATTTTCTTTCCATTGTTTAGATTGGGTGATTTCTATTTTTCTAACTTCAAGTTCTCTGATTTTTTTTTTATGTCCTATTCATTCTGCTATTGAGTTCATCCAGTGAGAGTTTTTTAAATTGTGTTTTTTCAGTTCTAAAGTCTCCATTTTATTCTTCTTTACATCTTCTGTTTCTTTTCTGAGACTTTCTGTCTTTTAATGCATTTCAGGTATATTCACAATTGCTTTTTAAAGCATTTTTACAATAATTGCTTTAAAATCCTGTCAGATAATTCCACTCTCTCTGTATTTTCTTGTTGACATAGGTTGATTGTCTTTTCTAATTCAAGTTGAGATTTTTTTGGTTATTTGTATGATGAATGATTTCAATTGTACCCCGATATTTTGGATTTAATGTTATGAGACTGTTTCCTCCTTAATCTTTTTTTGAAGGCAGTCATCCCGTTTAGGTTTGCATTTGTTAAATGTAGAAAATACAGTACGCTACACTTTTTGAAATCTTGTTTTAGCATTGTTTCACTTTTCTATTCAAAGAGCCTCTCCGAGAAGCCCCGCAGACTTTGGCTCACTTAGTTGTTCACTTTAAAATTAGGATAGTAGGGAAAACTACCACTTGTTGATTTACTCCTCATTTAACTTTTAATATCTCCTCTTCTTTCAAGATCTACAAATATTTTATTATTTATCTTCTCCCACTAAGTGCTCATCCAGGCCATTTTTCTCTCTTACCTAGTCCAGCTATATTGTCAGCAGCTAATTAGAATACAGATATTTAGCTTTTTATAGTCCCACAAATCTTTCTGAGATGTAAAATCTTGTAGCTTTGAGGCTCTCTCACCATAAGGACTCACTCTGGAGACAGCCTGAGGTTCCAACTCTCTGTCTCAGTTCCTCCTTTTTCATAGCTGTACCATTTTTCCTGCAGGGTTCCTAAAATGCCTTCCAGATGGGCTGTGTATTCTCACACTCAATTTAGCAACAGCTGCTATCAATCAACTTATGCAGGCTGTTCCTCCTGAAGAGTGATATAATGGCTTCTAATGTTCCTCCTGAAGAGTGATATAATGGCTTCTAAGTATTGGACAAAACTTCTACTTTTGAGCATTGTGAGGTTTTTCAACTGGCAAAACAAATCAAAGTTAAATAACTTTCCCATCTATACCTAGGCTCTAGGCTCTAGAGGAGGAGTGCCAATGGAGCTTTGAGAAACAAGGTAGGAGGAGAGAAAATTAGAACCCCAGATTGTCTATGGAGTAAGGACTTAGGGTGAGATAGGCCAAAGGCCCCTGAAAAGTTCTAAACCCTGAAAAGGTTTGGGGAGCATTAAAAAGTTAGTTAAACGTATACATTCTAGTTAATGAGTGAGAACATGGCTAGACCAAGTGGGATGTGAAAATGGCCTGGGACAGCTATGGGAAAGGGAAAATGGTAAAATAATTGTTGAACTTGAAAAAAGAAGCAACAGCAAACATTAAGTGATAAGAATAGTAAACAAACAAATAGCCAGTATCTTTGTTTCTTTAATTTTAAAATGGAAAGTGAAGTCAGCCAAACTATGTGCTGGGCTTCTCAGAGAGGCTCTTTGTGTAAGAAATGAAAAAATGCCAAAACAAGATTTTTAATACTGTGGCATATTTTAATTATTTACATGGAACAAATTAATAGTCTTAACTTCAAAACAGGGACAATGTAATTATGTTCTTTGCAAGAAACTTCTAGATTTTCTTTTTTAAGAAATGAATACCTGTGATGTAGTTTTCTCAGTTTAAAGTATTAATATATGATGAGTATTCCCTTCTTTCAGACCTGACAGTGTAGCTTTCTGATAAAGTACGTAACCTTAATAGGAAATGGAAGCCTTTTTCATGGGAAGCTTGGGCCAGAGAGGAACTCCTCCCACCCATCTGGCCTCACAGGTAGTGTGCTGAACAAGGTGAGCCTGCTCCTCCTCACTGTTATTCATGAGGGAACTTGTTTTAACTGTGCTTCTCTCATTAGGCAGATCAGTTGCCAGAGGGTGGCCTAGCACATGAGTAAATAAACTCCTGTATGGAACTTGGCCTACCACCTCAAGCCTGTTTTCAGGCCGGCTATGTGACAGATAGTAGGAAGACAGCAGGAATCAGAGGAAAGGGAAATATTTTTCTGTGAGCGGGAACCAAGGACCTAGGTACCTAACAAGCTGAGGGAATGAGGCCTCTGATGTCTGTGCCTCAGAGACGGACGTGTAATTGTGGGCATGCAATGAGTCTGTTGGCTTGTACAGCAGCTGCGTGTGTCTCTGTCTTTGTTGTTTCTTCTGCATTTTGTCTCTATCCCACAGAGATCTCAATAGCTGGCCTCTCTGCCCAGCTCAGCCCACTTTCTGGGCCCCTTCCTGTTCTCTCATCTTGTTTCTGCTAGTGGGTCTGATTATTTGATCAAGGAGCTCTAGGAAAAATCTATTTCTTTATCAAACCCCAAATTTTCTCAGACGCAATCTCTCTTTCCCGCTCTGAGGGACTCTTTAGTCTCTTACAGTCTCTGTCCTCCTTTTATCAAACCTGGCTTTTAGAAGATCTGATAAGCCTGCTTGCACTCAGGAGACACAACTGTGCCATTCCCTTCCCAAAGTTTCTGCATCTTAAGAAGCAACAAAGTTTCATGTCAAATCAAGCACTCTCTAATTGTGCAATTTCAAGCACCAATAGAAAGAGAGACTCTCTTTGGAAGAGTTTGTTGGGTGTTTCTGTGTGTTTGGAATTTTAATTTAATAAATAAGCCATCATTTTTATCTATAAAATATAGATTACAATAATACCTACACAAAAGGAAATTTCAGCTTAAAGTGAGATAGTGCATATGCCTAGCCCAGTGCCACATACAAAAGTTTGTGGTAAATATCATTTGCTGCTGTGGCTGTTAGTATTCAGCTGTGCCTCTATTATAGGCCCTGGGCTAGGCAATGAAGACCACTGGATACAATAACAACAAAACAGTTTTCCAGCTTAAAGAGAAATAATTTGTATTTGGACAGCTTAGTTTACTCTTTCCCAAAAATGTTGTCTTATGTATTAACTCACTCAACTCTCTTATTCTCCCCATTCCCTCCCAATTTCTTTTCACATTTTCTTAGTCTCCAAGAGACTAGGAGATTCCAAGTACTTGCCAAAGGTCCACATCTAGATTGGAACAGGTGTTTTTTTTTTAAGTGAACATGAGTTAAAGGTATATATATCACAGCAAAATACACTCAGAACAAAACATCCTCACCAAATTACTGAACTCAAGGCTGTGGGAGAGGAAGGCCAAAGAAGCCGAGAAAACCTCCTCAATGTTTTTTACTTAAAGCATGCATGCGAGTTTTGATTCAGAAAATATTATCTCTATAAATGTAATATGCTAATGGGAAGTGATTAAAAACTGTTTCTTAAAACTGAGGTATTATTCATATTGTCACATTGGAAGAGCCGTGTGTGTGTGTGTGTGTGTGTGTGTGTGTGTGTGTGTTCAAGTGGAGTGGAGGTTAGTAGAGGGATACTCAGGATGAGTAGTTAGACAGTAAAATAAGCTCTATGTTGCAGTATATCATCTATAAAAGTGAGCACTTAATTAATTCAAGAGCACACCTGTTATTTTAATTACGATTCTGTCAGTAAATTTTAGTGCCCGTGAGAGGTACTGAAGTGGAATTGCATTTCACCTTCTCTGGCACAACAACAAAGGAAGACAAACTCCACTGACTCTACCCCTCTTTGCCACCATATGGAATCTGAATACCAGAATCTAGGATTCTAATTGAGTGATCTGTTCCTACTTGTTTCACAGTTTTTTTTTGCCATTGTGAAGGGATCTACTCTATTTAAGGCTTAACTGGTTATTGCTACTATATACCACTACATTTCCATGACTTATTTTGGCGACCTTAGATTTGATATTCTCCCAAAGCTCACTCTCTTGCTTTGGCCCCTTGAGAGTGGAAAGTGACCATGATGGCAACAATAAAGCCAGAGGAGAAGACTGCAGGAGGAAAGCAATGTTCTAGCAAATGTGGGGCAGAGACATCTGCATTCTTCAGTGTGACAGTGGAGAAGCTCTGGGAATTCAGCACCACTGGGACTGGAAAGTAGTGACAGTGGGTCTTTGCTACAGAAATCCCTGCCACCTCCCTAACCCCATCCCCAAACACATATGCACATAGAGATACGGGAGGGGGGTAGGGAAGTGCTGGGTAGTGAAAGGCAGGGTCCCAGGCAAGGGCTTCACCCTCGGGCCTGTACCCACAGACCTAGACGAACACAGGCACTCCTGTTTTCATGCCCAAGAGTTGCATTTTCCAAGACCACCGTGGCCTGCCACACCCCCAATCCTGTGCCCGTAAAAAGCCGGAGACCCTAGGAGGCACACACTTAAGCAGCTGGACATCAAGAGGAACACACCGGCAGAAGAACGCACAGGCGGCTGGACGTGGAGAGGAACAGAGGAGTGGAAAAGCACAACAACAGACACCGGCAGACGCCGGCAGGCCATTGACTAGCGGAACAACGTGGACGCCAAGGGGAATTTGGCCAGGGTGGTCAGAGGAGAGTCCAGCTGCTGAGCAGCCCGACTCCAGGGGAAAGTCACCTTCCCTCTCCATACCCCTTCTAGCTCCCCATCCATCTGCTGAGAGCTACTTCCACCATTCAGTAAAACCTTCCACTCATTCTCCAAGCCCACGTGTGATCCGATTTTTCCAGTACACCAAGGCAAGAGCCCCAAGATACAGAAAGCCCTCTGTCCTTGCGATGAGGCACCAAGTCTAATTGAGCTGATTAATGCAAGCCGAAATTAATGCAAGCCAAATTAATGCAAAACTGAAAGAGCACACTGTAACACACGCCCACTGGGGTTCAGGAGCTCTAAACATTCACCCCTAGATGCTGCCGAGGAGTCAGAGCCCATGCTTTCCTGTTTGTGTGCCTGCTCCAGTTAAGGGTTTTGAGCAGGGGGGCACGAAGAAGTGAGCCACTCCCACATCGCTCACCCTGTAAGGGGGACAAGGGAACTTTTCCTGTTTCCATAGTGTGATTGGCCATGGTTCCTGGCTGTGTGGTGGCTTCTGGCTCTAGTTCTCGTGCCCTGTCACAAATTCTGTGAACTGGCTAATATCCTTTAATATGTTCCTTTTAAAAAATTTAA
This sequence comes from Homo sapiens, assembly GCF_000001405.40. Lineage (NCBI taxonomy): Eukaryota > Metazoa > Chordata > Mammalia > Primates > Hominidae > Homo > Homo sapiens. The sequence continues at coordinate 70,028,057 of NC_000012.12, read as the reverse complement.
ACAGATCCCAGTTCCCTACCTAGTCTCTATGAACTGCTGTAATAGTTAAAAAAATTAATAGGTTATATGCACTGACATGGAATGCCCAAAACATTGTGATAAAAGCAAAATGCAGAATCAGAAAACAAAATGGCATATTTCTTCGTGTGTGTTTGTGTGTGTGTGTGTATATATATATTTAGTATATATATATATATTTAGTATATGTATACACACATACATATACACACATATACACATATATACACATGTGTATATGTATATACACACATATATACACATGTGTGTATGTATATACACACATACATATATATACACACGTATACATATATAATATATATATTTGTAAATGCAAAGAGAACCTCTGAGAGAAAACAAACTTAACTGATATAACTGATAATAGTGGCAACCTCTGGCAGGGGAGTGGGAATACGAGGTGGAATGGGAGAAATACACCTAGACTTGTGTCTTTTACTCTTTATATTTTTTCTTGAATTTTTGTAAGACGATGCTTTCAAATATTGATTATATACTCAACACGGTATAACAAAATGAACAGAACAATCAACAGGCTAGAGTGTAGCAAACAGAGAACAGGAGTTGCCAGCTCATTTTCAGCTTGATTCTATTCAATTAATGTTATAAGAACCACCTGTGTGCTGAATATATCATAGATGAAAATGAATAAGAAAGGACCCCAGCACTCTCCATGGACCAGATAAGCAGATACACAAACAGATGAAGACCATATAATGTTCTAACTGGAAGGATAGCAACACAAAGAGTTTTTGTGGGGAGCCCCTAGAAGGATCCTCCTAACCTGCTTGCTGAGTTATTCTCTCTAGGTAAGGGATTCATATTTTATTTTTTATTGATACATAATATTCATACATTTATGGGGTACATATAATTTTTGCTACGTGCATAGAATGTGTAATGATCAAGTCAGGATATTTAGGGTATCCATCACTCAAGTATTTATTATTTCTATGTGTTGAGAGCATTTCAAGTCCTCTTTTCTAGCTATTTTGAAATATATGAATCATTGTTGTTAATTATAGTCATCCTACTCTGCTACCAAACATTGGAATTCATTTCTTCTGTCCCATATGTTTGTACACATTAAGGAATCTCTCTTCAATTCCCCACTTGACCCTTCCCAGACACTGATATCTGTCATTCTACTCTCTGCCTCCATGAGATCAACTTTTTTAGCATCCACATATGAATGAGAACATGCAATATTTGTCTTTCTGTGCCTGGCTTATTTCACTTAACATAATGACCTCCAGTTCCATCCATATTGCAGCAAATGACAGGACTTCATTCTTTTTTATTCTTTTCATGACCATAAAGTATTCCATTGTATATATATACATATACACCACTTTTTCTTTATCCATTTATCCATTGATGGATACTTAGGTTGATTCCACATCTTTATTTTTTTTTTCATATACCTGCTGGCTATTTGTATGTATTCTTTTGAGAAATGTCTATGCATGTCCTTTGCCCACTTTTTAATGGACAAGAGTTGTTGGTTGTTTGGTTTTTACATAGTGATTTGTTTGAGTTTCTTATATTTTTTGGATATTAGTCACTTTTCATATGAATAGTTTGCAAATATTTCCTCCCATTAATCCTCCCTCTTCACTCTGTTGATTGTTTCCTTTGCTGTGCAGAAGCCTTTTAGCTTAATATAGTTCATTTCATCTACCTTTGTTTCTCTTGCCTGGGCTTTTGAAGTCTTAGTCATAAAATCTTTGCCTAGACCAATGTCCTGAAGTGTTTTTCCTATGTTTTCTTCTGGTATTTTTAGTTTTGGGTCTTAAATTTAAGTCTTAATCCATCTTGAGTTGGGTTTTGTATGTGCTAAGAGATAGGGGTCCATTTTTATTCTTCTGCATATGGATAGCCCATTTCCCTAGCACCGTTTATTGAACAAAGTGTCTTTTCCCCAATGTGTGTTCTTGGCACCTTTGTCAAAAATCAGTTGGCTGTATATATGTGGATTTATTTCTGTGTTCTCTATTCTGTTTCATTGGTCTATGTATTGTTTTTATACTAATACCATGCTGTTTTAGTTAGTTTTCATACCAATGCCATGTTGTTTTGGTTATGATAGACTTTTAATGTATTCGGAAGACAGGTAATGTGATGCCTCCAATTTTGTTCTTTTTGCTAAGAATTTCTTGGCCGTTCAAGCTTTTATTCAGTTCCATACACATTTTAGGATTGTTTTTTCTATTTCTGTTAAAATGACATTGTTATTTTGATAGAGATTGCACTGAATCTGTATATTGCTTTGGGTAGTAAGGTAATTAAACAATATTAGTTTTTCTTATCTGTGAGCATGGGATGTTTTTCCATTTGCTTGCCTCCTCTTTAATGTTTTTCAGAAGTGTTTTATAGATGTCTTTCACCTCCTTGGTTAAATATATTCCCAAGTAATTTTTTATGGCTATTGTAAATAGGATTACATTCTTTTAAATTTTTATTTACTTTTTGTTTTCTCAATTTTTTTTAATACATGGGGGGGTCTTACTATGTTGCTCAGGCTGGTCTTGAACCCCTAGCCTCAAGCAATCCTGCCGCTTCAACCTTCTTACTAGCCAGGATTGCAGGTATAAGCCATGTGCCCAGCTGAGATTGCCTTCTTGACTTAATTCTCAGCTAACTCATTATTGGTGTATACAAATACTACTGATTTTTATATGTTGATTTTGTATCCTGCGACTTTATTGAGTGTATTTATCAGATCCAAGAGTTTTTTGGTAGAGCGTTTAGGTTTTTTAAGATTTAAGATCAATTCATCTGAAGAGAAACAACGTGATTTCCTTTTTTTCTGATTTGGATGCTTTTTATTTCTGTCTTTTGCGTGATTGCTCTGGCTAGGGTCTCCAGTATTATGTTGAATAGAAGTGGTGAAAGTGGGCATCCTTATCTTGTTTCAGTATTTAGAAGAAAGGCTTTCAGCTTTTCACCATTCAGTATGTTAGCTGTGTGTTTGTCATATATGGCCTTATTTATTGAGGTATGTTTCTTCTATGGCTAATTTGTTGAGAGTTTTTATCACGAAGTAATGTTGAATTTTATTAAATGCTTCTTCTGCATGTATTGAAATGATCATGTGATTTTTGCCCTGCATTTGGTTGTTGTGATGTATCACATTTATTGATTTGCATATGTTGAACCATCTTTGCATCCCTGGGATAAATTTCACTTGGTAGTATTGTGTTATCTTTTTAATGTACTCTTGGATTTGGTTTGCTAGAATTTAGTTATGGATTTAGTTATGGATTTTTCTATGTTCATCAAGGATATTGGCCTGAAGTTTTCTGTTTTGGTTGCATCTTTGTCTGGCTTTCGTATTATGGTAATACTGGTCTTATAGAATGAGTTAGGAAGAATTCCCATCTCTTCAATTTTTTGGAATAGTTTGAGGAGAATTGATTTTAGTTCTTCTTTGTAAGTTTGGTAAAATTCAGCAGTAAATCCATCTGGTCCCAGCCTTTTCTTTGTTGGGAGACTGTCTAGCTGATTCAATTTCATTACTCCTTTCTGGTCTGTTCAGGTTTTCTATTTGTTTCTGATTCAATTTTGATAGGTTGTATGTGTTCACGAATTTATCTATTTCCTCCAGGTTTTCCAGTTTGTTAGCATATAGTTGTTCATTATATTCTCTGATGATCATATGTATTTCTGTGGTATGAGTTGCAATGTATCCTTTTGTGTTTCTGATTTTATTTGGGTCTTTTCTTGATTAGTCTAGCTGGTGGTTTATTGATTTTGCTTATCTCTTCAAAAAACCAACTTTTTGTTATCCTTCATATTTCTTTATTTCATTTAGTTCTACTCAGATCTTTATTATTTATTTACTTTTGATAATTTGAGGTTTGGTTTGTTCTTGCTTTTCTAATTACTCGAGGTGCCTCATTAGATTATTTGAAATATTTCTACATTTTTCAAATTTTTTATATTCATTTTTTGTGGGTACATAGGAGGTATACATATTTATGGAATACATGAGAAATTTTGATACAGGTATGCAATGCATCATAATCACATCAGAGTAAATGGGATATTTATCAAGCATTTATCTTTTCTGTTACAAACAATCCAATTATATTCTTTTAGTTATTTTAAAATGTACAATTAAATTATTATTAACTATACTCGCCCCACCCTCTTGTGCTATCAAATACTAGGTCTCATTCACATTCTCTAATTACTTTTTTTGTACCTATTAACCATTTCCACTTCCCCACTACCCCCCAACTCGCCTTCCCAGCCTCTGATAATATCCTTCTACTCTATTTCCATGAATTCAATTGTTCTCATTTTTAGCTCCCACAAATAAGTGAGAACATGCAAAGTTTATCTTTCTGTGCCTGGCTTATTTCACTTAACATGATGACCTCCAGTTCCATTCATGTTGTTGCAAAGGACAGCATCTCATTGTTTTTATGGCTGAATAGTACTCCATTGTATATATGTACCAAATTTTCTCTATCCATTCATCTTTTGATGGACACAGGTTGCTTCAAAAGCTTGGCTATTGTAAATAGTGCTGCAATAAACATGGGAGTGCAGATTTCTCTTTCATATACTGATTTCCTTTCTTTTGGGTATATACCCAGCAGTGAGATGGCTGGATCATATGATAACTCTTTCTAGTTTTTTGAGGACCCTCCAAATTGTTCTCCATAGTGGTGATATTTGTTTATTTTCCCACCAACAGTGGACAAGGGTTCCTTTCTCTTCACATCTTTGCCAGCATTTGTTATTGTCTGTCTTTTGAATATTTAAAAATTTATTTTGTGACCTAATATATGACCCATCCTTGAGAATGATACATGTGCTGAGAAGAATGTATTCTGCAGCCACTGAAATAAATGTTCTGTAAATATCTATTAGGTCCATTTAGTCTATAGTGCAGATTAAATCTGATGTTCGTTTGTTGACATTCTGTCTGGAAGATCTGTCCAATGCTGAAAGGCTGAAATGAGGTAAAGTGATATCCCATTGTAGTTTTAATTTGCATTTCTCTGAAAATCAGTGACGTTGAGCATCTTTTCATATACCTGTTTGCCATTTGCATGTCTTCTTTTGAAAAATGTCTATTCAGATATTTTGCCCATTTTAAAATCAGATTATTAGATTTTTTCCAATAGAGTTGTTTTAGCTCCTTATAAATTCTGATTATTAAACTCTTGTCAGATGGATAGTTTGCACATATTTTCTCCCATTCTATGGGTTGTCTCTTCATTTTGTTAATTGTTTCCTTTGCTATGCAGAAGCTTTGATCCAATTTGTCCATCTTTGCTTTGATTGCCTGTTCTCGTAGGGTATTACTCAAGAAACTAATGCCCAGTGCAATGTCCGGGAGAGTTTCCCCAATGTTTTCTTTTAGTAGTTTCATAGTTTGAGGTCTTATATTTAAGTCTTTAATTCATTTTGATTTGATTTTTGTATGAGGTAAGAGATAGAAGTCAAGTTTCGTTCTTCAGCATATGAATATCTAGTTTTCCAAACACCATTTATTGAAGAGATTTTTCTTTCCCCAGTGCATGTTCTTGACACCTTTGTTGAAAATGAGTTCACTATAGGTGTATGGGTTTATTTCTGGGCTTTCTATTCTGTTTCATTGGTCTATGTGTCTGTTTTAATGACAGTACCATGCTGTTTTTGTTACCATAGTTCTGCAGTATATATATATATATATTTTTAGATGGAAACTTGCTCTGTCACCCAGATTGGAGTGCAGTGGGGTGATCTCAGCTCACTACAACCTCCATCTCCTGGGTTCAAGCAATTCTCCTGCCTCAGCTCCCATGTAGCTGGGATTACAGGCATGTGCCACAACACCCAGCTAATTTTTTTGTATTTTTAGTAGAGACGGGATTTCACCATGTTGGCCAGGCTGGTCTCAAACTCCTGACCTCAGGTGATCCACCCGCCTTAGCCTCCCAAAATGCTGGGATTACAAGTGTGAGCCACCATGCCTGGCCAGTATAATTTGAAGTTAGTTACTGTGATTCCTCTGGTTTTCTTCTTTTTATTTAGGATAGCTTTGGCTATTTTGTGGTTTTTGTGGTTCCATGTAAATTTTAAGATTGTTTTTCCTCTTTTTGTGAAGAATGTAATTGGTATTTTGATAAGGATTGCATTGAATCTCTAGATTGCTTTGGGTAGTATAGACATTTTAACAATACTTATTCTTCTAATCCATGACCATGAAATATCTTTTTATTTTTTGTGTCCTCTTCAATTTCTTTCATCAGTGTTTTATAGTTTTCATTATAGAGATCTTTCACTTCTTTGCCTAAGTATTTAATTTTATTTGCAGCTATTGTAAATGGGATTATTATTTTACTGATTTCTTCTTCAGATTGCTTGCTCTTGGCATATAAAAATGCTACTAATTTTTACATGTTAATTTTGTATCCTGCAACTTTACTGAATTTATTAGCTCTAATAGTTGTGTGTGCGGAATCTTTAGCTTTTTCCAAACATGAAATAATATCATTTGCAAACAAGGATAATTTGACTTCTTCATTTACAATTTGGATGCCCTTTATGTCTTTCCCTGGTCTGATTGCTCCAGCCAAGACTTCAAGTACTATGTTGAATAACAGTGGTGAAAGTGGGCATCTTTGTCACGTGCCAGATCACAAAAGGAAGTTTTTCAGTTTTACCCCATTCAGTGTCATACTAGCTGTGTGTCTCTTGTATATGGCTTTGAGTATGTTGATGTATATTACTTCTATACCTAGTTTTTTGAGCATTTTTATCATGAAGGGATGTAGAATTTTATCAAATGCTTATTCGGCATCAATTGACATGATCATGTGATTTTCCTCTTTCATCCTGTAGATATGATGTATCACATTGATTGATTTGTGTATATCAAACCATCCTTGCATCCCTGGGATAAATCCCACTTGGTTATGAGAAGTAATCTTTTTAATGTGTTGTTGAATTCAGTTTGCTATTATTTTTTTGAGAATTTTTGCATCAATATTCATCAGGGATATTGGCCTATGGTTTTCCTTTTTTGTTGTGCCTTTGTTTGGTTTTGGTATCAGGGAAATACTGGCCTCATAAACTAAGTTTGGAAGTATTTCCTCTTCCTCCATTTTTTGGAATAGTTTAAGTAGGATTGCTATTAATTCTTCTTTAAGTGTTTAGTAGAATTTAGCAGTGAAGCCATAGGTCTGAGTTTTTCCTTGCTGGGAGACATTTTATTGTGACTTTGATCACATAACTTGCTATTAATCTGTTTAGGTTTTGGATTTCTTTATGTTTCAATATTGGTAGGTTGTATGTGTCTAGAAATTTATTCATTTCTTCTAGATTTTCCAATTTATTAGCATATAGTTGTTCATGGTAGCCACTAATGATCCCTCAAATTTCTATAATATCAGTTGTAATGTTTGTTTTTTCATCTCTGATTTTATTTATTTTATTTATTCTCTCTTTTTTTTCTTTATCAGTCTGGCTAAAGGTTTGTCAATTCTTTTTATCTTTTCGAAAAACAAACTTTTAGTTTTGATAATCTTTTATATTGTTTTCTTCATTTCAATTTAATTTATTCCTGCTCTAATTTTTATTATTTCTTTTCTTCTGCTAATTTTGGGTTTGGGTTGCTCTTGCTTTTCTACTTATTTAAGATGGATGATTTAGTTATTTATTTGAAGTTTTACTTCTTTTTTGATATAGGCACTTTTAGCTATAAACGTCCCTCTTAGTACTGCTTACATTGTATCCCATAGGTTTTGGTATGTTGTGTATCCATTATCATTTGTTTTAAGAAATTTTTCAATTTCCTTCTTAATTTCTTCATTGACTCACTGGTCAGTTAGGAGCATATTGTTTCATTTCCACGTGTTTATATAATTTCCAAAATCCCTCTTGTTATTGATGTCTAGTTCTGTTCCATTGTGGTCAGAGAAGATTCTTGATATTATTATAATATTTTTGAATATTTTAAAATGTATTTTGTAACCTACAATATGGTCTATCCTTGAGAATGATACATGTGCTGATAAAAAGAACATATTCTGCAGTCACTGGATAAAATGTTCTGTTAATATCTATTAGGTCCATTTGGTCTACCGTGCAGATTAAGTCTGATGTTTCCTTGTTGATTTTCTGTCTGGAAGATCTGTCCAATGCTGAAAGTGGTGTATTGAAGTCTCTAGGTATTATTGTATCATGGTGTGGTCTATCTCTCTTTAGCTCTAGTAATATTTGCTTTATATATCTAGGTGCTCCAGTGTTGGGTGCATTTATATTTAAAATTCTTATATTCTCTTGCTGAATTGACCCCTTTATCATTATATAATGACCTTCTTTGTCTCTTCCTATTGTTTTTGACTTGCAATCTATTTTGTCTGATATAAGTATAGCTACTCCGGCTTTTTTGTTTTCATTGGCATGGAATATCTTTTTCCATCCATTTGTTTTCAGTCTATGTGTGTCTTCATAGGTGAAGTGAGTTTCTTGTAGGTAACAAGTCATTGGATCTTGTTTTTTGTTTTATTTTAATCCATTCTGCCACTCTATGTCTTTTGATGGGAGGGTTTAGTCCATTTACATTCCATGTTTTTATTGATAAGTAAAGACTTACTCCTGCCATTTTGTTATTTGTTTTCAGATTGTTTTGTGGTCTTCTCTTCTTTTTTTTCTTCCTTCCTGTCATCCTTTCAGTGAAAGTTATTTTTTCTGGTGGTGTAATTTAATTTTTTGCTTTTTTGGTATGTGTATTCATTGTATGTTTTTTGATTTGAGATTAAAGTGAGGCTTGCAAATACTATCTTATAACCCATTATCTTAAACTGATGACAATTTAACACTGATTACATAAACAAACAAATAAAACTAAAAAAAACTAAAAAAACTCTACACTTTAATTTCCACTTTTTAAATTTTTGTTTTTCCTTTTGTCTTTTTATTTTATTTTATTTTATTTTTATTTCTTTTTTATTATACTTTAAGTTTTAGGGTACATGTGCACATTGTGCAGGTTAGTTACATATGTATACATGTGCCATGCTGGTGCGCTGCACCCACTAACTCGTCATCTAGCCTTAGGTATATCTCCCAATGCTATCCCTCCCCGCTCCCCCCACCCCACCACAGTCTCCAGAGTGTGATATTCCCCTCCACGTGTCCATGTGATCTCATTGTTCAGTTCCCACCCATGAGTGAGAATATGCGGTGTTTGGTTTTTTGTTCTTGCGATAGTTTACTGAGAATGATGATTTCCAATTTCATCCATGTCCCTACAAAGGACATGAACTCATCATTTTTTATGGCTGCATAGTATTCCATGGTGTATATGTGCCACATTTTCTTAATCCAGTCTATCATTGTTGGACATTTGGGTAGGTTCCAAGTCTTTGCTATTGTGAATAATGCTGCAATAAACATACGTGTGCATGTGTCTTTATAGCAGCATGATTTATAGTCATTTGGGTATATACCCAGTAATGGGATGGCTGGGTCAAATGGTATTTCTAGTTTTAGATCCCTGAGGAATCGCCACACTGACTTCCACAATGGTTGAACTAGTTTACAGTCCCACCAACAGTGTAAAAGTGTTCCTATTTCTCCACATCCTCTCCAGCACCTGTTGTTTCCTGACTTTTTAATGATTGCCATTCTAACTGGTGTGAGATGATATCTCATAGTGGTTTTGATTTGCATTTCTCTAATGGCCAGTGATGATGAGCATTTTTTCATGTGTTTTTTGGCTGCATAAATGTCTTCTTTTGAGAAGTGTCTGTTCATGTCCTTCGCCCACTTTTTGATGGGGTTGTTTTTTTTTTTCTTGTAAATTTGTTTGAGTTCATTGTAGATTCTGGATATTAGCCCTTTGTCAGATGAGTAGGTTGCGAAAATTTTCTCCCATTCTGTAGGTTGCCTGTTCACTCTGATGGTAGTTTCTTTTGCTGTGCAGAAGCTCTTTAGTTTAATTAGATCCCATTTGTCAATTTTGGCTTTTGTTGCCATTGCTTTTGGTGTTTTGGACATGAAGTCCTTGCCCATGCCTATGTCCTGAATGGTAATGCCTAGGTTTTCTTCTAGGGTTTTTATGGTTTTAGGTCTAACATTTAAATCTTTAATCCATCTTGAATTGATTTTTGTATAAGGTGTAAGGAAGGGATCCAGTTTCAGCTTTCTACATATGGCTAGCCAGTTTTCCCAGCACCATTTATTAAATAGGGAATCCTTTCCCCATTGCTTGTTTTTCTCAGGTTTGTCAAAGATCCGATAGTTGTAGGTATGCGGCGTTATTTCTGAGGGCTCTGTTCTGTTCCATTGATCTATATCTCTGTTTTGGTACCAGTACCATGCTGTTTTGGTTACTGTAGGCTTGTAGTATAGTTTGAAGTCAGGTAGTGTGATGCCTCCAGCTTTGTTCTTTTGGCTTAGGGTTGACTTGGCGATGCGGGCTCTTTTTTGGTTCCATATGAACTTTAAAGTAGTTTTTTCCAATTCTGTGAAGAAAGTCATTGGTAGCTTGATGGGGATGGCATTGAATCTGTAAATTACCTTGGGCAGTATGGCCATTTTCACGATATTGATTCTTCCTACCCATGAGCATGGAATGTTCTTCCATTTGTTTGTATCCTCTTTTATTTCCTTGAGCAGTGGTTTGTAATTCTCCTTGAAGAGGTCCTTCATATCCCTTGTAAGTTGGATTCCTAGGTATTTTATTCTCTTTGAAGCAATTGTGAATGGGAGTTCACTCATGATTTGGCTCTCTGTTTGTCTGTTGCTGGTGTATAAGAATGCTTGTGATTTTTGTACATTGATTTTGTATCCTGAGACTTTGCTGAAGTTGCTTATCAGCTTAAGGAGATTTTGGGCTGAGACGATGGGGATTTCTAGATGAACAATCATGTCGTCTGCAAACAGGGACAATTTGACTTCCTCTTTTCCTAATTGAATACCCTTTATTTCCTTCTCCTGACTGATAGCCCTGGCCAGAACTTCCAACACTACATTGAATAGGAGTGGTGAGAGAGGGCATCCCTGTCTTGTGCCAGTTTTCAAAGGGAATGCTTCCAGTTTTTGCCCATTCAGTATGATATTGGCTGTGGGTTTGTCATAGATAGCTCTTATTATTTTGAAATACGTCCCATCAATACCTAATTTATTGAGAGTTTTTAGCATGAAGGGTTGTTGAATTTTGTCAAAGGCTTTTTCTGCATCTATTGAGATAATCATGTGGTTTTTGTCTTTGGCTCTGTTTATATACTGGATTACATTTATTGATTTGCATATATTGAACCAGCCTTGCATCCCAGGGATGAAGCCCACTTGATCATGGTGGATAAGCTTTTTGATGTGCTGCTGGATTCCGTTTGTCAGTATTTTATTGAGGATTTTTGCATCAATGTTCATCAAGGATATTGGTCTAAAATTCTCTTTTTTGGTTGTGTCTCTGCCCGGCTTTGGTATCAGAATGATGCTGGCCTCATAAAATGAGTTAGGGAGGATTCCCTCTTTTTCTATTGATTGGAATAGTTTCAGAAGGAATGGTACCAGTTCCTCCTTGTACCTCTGGTAGAATTCGGCTGTGAATCCATCTGGTCCTGGACTCTTTTTGGTTGGTAAACTATTGATTATTGCCCCAATTTCAGCTCCTGTTATTGGTCTATTCAGAGATTCAACTTCTTCCTGGTTTAGTCTTGGGAGAGTGTATGTGTCGAGGAATGTATCCATTTCTTCTAGATTTTCTAGTTTATTTGCGTAGAGGTGTTTGTAGTATTCTCTGATGGTAGTTTGTATTTCTGTGGGATCAGTGGTGATATCCCCTTTATCATATTTTATTGTGTCTATTTGATTCTTCTCTCTTTTTTTCTTTATTAGTCTTGCTAGCGGTCTATCAATTTTGTTGATCCTTTCAAAAAACCAGCTCCTGGATTCATTGATTTTTTGAAGGGTTTTTTGTGTCTCTATTTCCTTCAGTTCTGCTCTGATTTTAGTTATTTCTTGCCTTCTGCTAGCTTTTGAATGTGTTTGCTCTTGCTTTTCTAGTTCTTTTAATTGTGATGTTAGGGTGTCAATTTTGGATCTTTCCTGCTTTCTCTTGTGGGCATTCAGTGCTATAAATTTCCCTCTACACACTGCTTTGAATGCGTCCCAGAGATTCTGGTATGTTGTGTCTTTGTTCTCGTTGGTTTCAAAGAACATCTTTATTTCTGCCTTCATTTCGTTATGTACCCAGTAGTCATTCAGGAGCAGGTTGTTCAGTTTCCATGTAGTTGAGCAGCTTTGAGTGGGATTCTTAATCCTGAGTTCTAGTTTGATTGCACTGTGGTCTGAGAGATAGTTTGTTATAATTTGTGTTCTTTTACATTTGCTGAGGAGAACTTTACTTCCAACTATGTGGTCAATTTTGGAATAGGTGTGGTGTGGTGCTGAAAAGAATGTATATTCTGTTGATTTGGGGTGGAGAGTTCTGTAGATGTCTATTAGGTCCGCTTGGTACAGAGCTGAGTTCAATTCCTGGGTATCCTTGTTGACTTTCTGTCTCGTTGATCTGTCTAATGTTGACAGTGGGGTGTTAAAGTCTCCCATTATTAATGTGTGGGAGTCTAAGTCTCTTTGTAGGTCACTCAGGACTTGCTTTATGAATCTGGGTGCTCCTGTATTGGGTGCATATATATTTAGGATAGTTAGCTCCTCTTGTTGAATTGATCCCTTTACCATTATGTAATGGCCTTCTTTGTCTCTTTTGATCTTTGTTGGTTTAAAGTCTGTTTTATCAGAGACTAGGATTGCAACCCCTGCCTTTTTTTGTTTTCCATTTGCTTGGTAGATCTTCCTCCATCCTTTTATTTTGAGCCTATGTGTGTCTCTGCACATGAGATGGGTTTCCTGAATACAGCACACTGATGGGTCTTGACTCTTTATCCAACTTGCCAGTCTGTGTCTTTTAATTGGAGCATTTAGTCCATTTACATTTAAAGTTAATATTGTTATGTGTGAATTTGATCCTGTCATTATGATGTTAGCTGGTTATTTTGCTCGTTAGTTGATGCAGTTTCTTCCTAGTCTCGATGGTCTTTACATTTTGGCATGATTTTGCAGCGGCTGGTACCGGTTGTTCCTTTCCATGTTTAGCGCTTCCTTCAGGAGCTCTTTTAGGGCAGGCCTGGTGGTGACAAAATCTCTCAGCATTTGCTTGTCTGTAAAGTATTTTATTTCTCCTTCACTTATGAAGCTTAGTTTGGCTGGATATGAAATTCTGGGGTGAAAATTCTTTTCTTTAAGAATGTTGAATATTGGTCCCCACTCTCTTCTGGCTTGTAGGGTTTCTGCCGAGAGATCCACTGTTAGTCTGATGGGCTTCCCTTTGAGGGTAACCCAACCTTTCTCTCTGGCTGCCCTTTACATTTTTTCCTTCATTTCAACTTCGGTGAATCTGACAATTATGTGTCTTGGAGTTGCTCTTCTCGAGGAGTATCTTTGTGGCGTTCTCTGTATTTCCTGAATCTGAACGTTGGCCTGCCTTGCTAGATTGGGGAAGTTCTCCTGGATAATATCCTGTAGAGTGTTTTCCAACTTGGTTCCATTCTCCGCATCACTTTCAGGTACACCAATCAGACGTAGATTTGGTCTTTTCACATAGTCCCATATTTCTTGGAGGCTTTGCTCATTTCTTTTTATTCTTTTTTCTCTAACCTTCCCTTCTCGCTTCATTTCATTCATTTCATCTTCCATTGCTGATACCCTTTCTTCCAGTTGATCGCATCGGCTCCTGAGGCTTCTGCATTCTTCACGTAGTTCTCGAGCCTTGGTTTTCAGCTCCATCAGCTCCTTTAAGCACTTCTCTGTATTGGTTATTCTAGTTATACATTCTTCTAAATTTTTTTCAAAGTTTTCAACTTCTTTGCCTTTGGTTTGAATGTCCTCCCGTAGCTCAGAGTAATTTGATCATCTGAAGCCTTCTTCTCTCAGCTCGTCAAAGTCATTCTCCATCCAGCTTTGTTCCGTTGCTGGTGAGGAACTGCGTTCCTTTGGAGGAGGAGAGGCGCTCTGCATTTTAGAGTTTCCAGTTTTTCTGTTCTGTTTTTTCCCCATCTTTGTGGTTTTATCTACTTTTGGTCTTTGATGATGGTGATGTACAGATGGGTTTTCGGTGTGGATGTCCTTTCTGTTTGTTAGTTTTCCTTCTAACAGACAGGACCCTCAGCTGCAGGTCTGTTGGAATACCCTGCCGTGTGAGGTGTCAGTGTGCCCCTGCTGGGGGGTGCCTCCCAGTTAGGCTGCTCGGGGGTCAGGGGTCAGGGACCCACTTGAGGAGGCAGTCTGCCCGTTCTCAGATCTCCAGCTGCGTGCTGGGAGAACCACTGCTCTCTTCAAAGCTGTCAGACAGGGACATTTAAGTCTGCAGAGGTTACCGCTGTCTTTTTGTTTGTCTGTGCCCTGCCCCCAGAGATGGAGCCTACACAGGCAGGCATGCCTCCTTGAGCTGTGGTGGGCTCCACCCAGTTCGAGCTTCCCGGCTGCTTTGTTTACCTAAGCAAGCCTGGGCAATGGCGGGCGCCCCTCCCCCAGCCTCGCTGCCGCCTTGCAGTTTGATCTCAGACTGCTGTGCTAGCAATCAGCGAGATTCCGTGGGCGTAGTACCCTCCGAGCCAGGTGTGGGATATAGTCTCGTGGTGCGCCGTTTTTTAAGCCGGTCTGAAAAGTGCAATATTCGGGTGGGAGTGACCCGATTTTCCAGGTGCGTCCGTCACCCCTTTCTTTGACTCAGAAAGGGAACTCCCTGGCCCCTTGCGCTTCCCAGGTGAGGCAATGCCTCGCCCTGCTTCGGCTCGCACCCGGTGCGCGCACCCACTGGCCTGCGCCCACTGTCTGGCACTCCCTAGTGAGATGAACCCGGTACCTCAGATGGAAATGCAGAAATCACCCGTCTTCTGCGTCGCTCACGCTGGGAGCTGTAGACTGGAGCTGTTCCTATTCGGCCATCATTCTTTTTGTCTTATTGTGCTGTGTCTTAAAAGCTGTAGTTATCATTTTTTAATTGGCTCATCTTTTAGTCTTTCTACTTAAGAATAACTTATGCACCAAATTTAGTGTTATCATATTCTGTGTTTTTCTGTGTACTTACTATTACTAGTCAGTTTTGTACCTTCAGGTGATTTCTTATTGCTCAGTAACATCCTTCTCTTTCTGATTGAACAACTCCCTTTAGCATTTCTCATAGGACAGGTCTGGTGTTGATGAAATCTCCCAGCTTTTATTTGTCTGGGGTTTTATTTCTCTTTCAGGTTTGAAAGATATTTTGCCAGATATGCTATTGTAGGGTGAAAGTTTTTCTCTTTCAGCACTTTAAAATGTCATGCCATTCTCTCCTGGCCTGTAAGGTTTCCACTGAAATGTCTGCTGAGAGATGTATTGGAGCTCCATAATGTGTTATTTGTTTCTTTTCTCTTGCTGCTTTTAGGAAACTTTATTTATCCTCGACCTTTGGGAGTTTTATTATTAAGTGTCTTGGAGGTAGTTTTCTTTGAGTTAAATCTACTTGGTGTTCTAGAACCTTCTTGTACTTGAATATTGGTATCTTTCTCTAAGTTTGGGACGTTCTTTGTTATTGTCCCTTTGAACTTTCTATACTTACCTCTTTCTCTACCTCCTCTTTAAAGCCAAGAACTCTTAGATTTGCCCATTTGAGGCTTTTTTCTAGATCATGTAAGTGTCCTTCCTTCTTTATTTTGTCTCCACTGACTGTATATTTTCAAATAGCCTATCTTCAAGTTCACCATTGTTTTTTCTTCTGCTTGATCAATTATGCTGTCAGGAGACTGATGAATTCTTCACTATGTCAATTGCATTTTCAACTCCAGAATTTTTCCTTTCATTCTTTAAAGTTCTTTCAATCTTTTTGTTAAATTTATCTGATAGAATTCTGAATTATTTCTCTGTGTTATCTTAAATTTATTTGAGCTTTCTCAAAACAGCTATTTTGAATTTTTTGTCTGAAAAGTCACATATATCTATGCTTCTCCAGGATTGGGTCCTCATGCCCTATTTAGTTCATTGGGTAAGGCCATGTTTTCTTGAATAGCCTTGATGCTTATCTTTCTTTGGTGTCTGGGCATTGAAAAATTAGGTATTCATTGTAGTCTTTGTTGTCTGGGCTTGTTTATACCTATACTTGCTAAGAATGCTTTCCAGGTATTCAAAGGGACCTGTGAATTGTGATCTAAGCCTTATCTGCATTAGGGGCACACCAAACCCAGTAACACTGTGGTTCTTGCAGGCTCATAGAGATTATGCGTTGGTGATCTTAAATTTGATCCAGAAGAATTCTGTGGATTACCATGCAGAGACTCTTGCTCTCGGGCCTTACTTTCTCTAAAATAAATGGAGCCTCTCTCTCTCTCTCTCTCTCTCTCTCTCTGTGTCTGCTGAGGCACCTGAAACAGGATATGGTGATGCAAGCACCCCTGTGGCCACCACCACTGGGACTGCACTGGGGGAGACTTGGAGCTAGCACAGTACTGTGTCTTGCCCAAGGCCTGCTGTAACCACCACCTCACTACCACCAATGTTTGCTCAAGGACCAAGTGCTCTACAATCAGCAGGTAGTGAAGCCAGCCAGGCTTATATCATTCCCCTCAGAGCAGCAAGATCCCCCAGACCCCAGGTTGGTCCAGAGATGCTATCCAGGAGCCAGGGACTGCAATAAAAAACCTTAGAAATCTACCTGGTACTCTTGCTCTATTCTACTGTGGTTAAGCTGGCACTCAAACCATGAGACAAAGTCCTTCCCACTCTTTCCTCCCCTTTCCATAGGCAGGGGAGCCTCACCCCATGGCTACCACCACCACAGGCCCATGGTGAGTACTTCCAGGCTACTGCCAATGTTCACTTAAGGCCCAAGTGCTCTTCAGTCAGCTTGTGAATGCTGCCAGGTGTCAAACTCATCCTTCAAGGCAGTGGGCTCCCCTCTGGCCTAGGACAGTTCCAAAAATGCCATTCAAGAGCCAAGTCTTGGAATCAGGGACCCCAAGAGCCCACTTGTTGCTCTATCCCACTGTGGCAGGTGCAAGACAAAGTCCCCTTTACTTTCCCCTCTGCTTTTCTCAAGCAGAAGGATTATATCCCCATAACCACCACAGCTGGGACTATGTTGGATCTCATACGAAACCAGCACATGTCAGAGTCTCACCCAAGGCCCATGGTATCACTGCTGGTTATTCTGAGCCCAAGGGCTCTTCAGTTAGAAGGTGCTGAATCCTGCCAGGACTAAATCCTTCCCTTCAAGGCAATAGATTCCCTTCTAGCCCAGGATGTGTCCAGAAATGTTGTCTGAGAGTTAGGACCTGGAAAGGGGGCCTCATGACTGCCTGGTGCCCTATCTTGCTGTGGTTGAGCTGGTATCCAAGATGCAAGAGAAAGTCCTTTTTACTCTTCATTCTTTCCTCAAGCAGAAGACACTGTACTGCCTGAGGCTGAGGGAGGGGTGGCACAAGCACTCCCTTTGCTGTCCCAGCTGGTGTCTCACTAGATCACTTGCCCCTCAACTCCACTAGCTCCAACCCCAGCACAGCACTAGACTTGCCTAAGAATTGCAGTTCTTGTGTACTAGACTACCTTTCACATTTATTTAGGACCCCAGAGGACTCTAGCTTATGGTGGTGAGGCTTGCCAAAACTCAATCTCTGACTGCTAGGATGGACAATCCCCCTCTGGCTAGGGCTGCTCTAAATGCTCCCTCTGTGGTCAGGCATTGGCTGAGTTCAGCCAAGTGTTCTTTCTGCTGTGATAGGGCCACATTGAGTTCAATGCAAAGTCCTACAGTTGCTGTGCTGTCCCTCCCCCAAGTGCACAGATTGTCTCTCCACACCAAGTAACTGCTGCTGGGAAATGAGGGAGGTGTGGTGTCAATGACTCAAGACCATCTTTCTTACCCTCTTCAGTGCCTCTTTCAGCAATATGAAGCTAAAACCAGGTACTGTGATAGCTCATCTGATTTTTTGTTCTCATGAAGGTGCTTTTTTTATGTACATTGTTGTTAAATTTGGTGTGTTCCTATTGGGGGACCATCAATAGAGGCTTCTATTCAACCATCTTGCTCTGCCTTTCCACTTTTTAAATGTAGGCATTTAGTGCTATGCTCCCCTCTTAGCACTGTTTTTGTTGTATCCCACAGGTTTTGGTATGTCGTGTTTCCATTTTCATTTGTTTTAAAAAAATTTTTTGATTTCCTCCTTAATTTCTTCCTTCACTCAGGAGCATGCTGATTAACCTTTATGTATTTATACAATTTCCAATGTTCCTCTTGTTATTGATTATTAGTTTCATTCTATTGTGATCTGAAAAGATACTTGATATGATTTTCATTTTTAAAAATTTTTTGAGACTTGTTTTGAGCTAACATATGGTTTATCTGCAAGAATGTTCCATGTAATGATGAGAAGAATGTGTATTCTGTAGCTGTTAAATGAAATGTTGTGCAAATGTCTGTTAGATGCACTTGGTCTAAAGTGTAGCTTAAATCCAGTGTTTCCTTGTTCATTTTCTGCCTAGATGATGTAACTATTGCTGAGAGTGGGGTGTTGAAGTCTCCAACTATTATTATATTGAAGTCTATCTCTCTTTTCAGACATAGTAATATTTGCTTTATGACTCTGCATGCTCTGGTGTTTGGGGCATATATGTTTAGAATTGCTATATCCTCATGCTGAACTGATGTTTTTATCATTATAAAATGACCTTCTTTTTCTTTTTTTGTGGCTTTTAACTTAAAGTTAGTCTTATCTGATGTAAGTATAACTACTTCTACTCACTTTTGGTTTCTGTTTGCATGGAATATCTTTTTCCATCCCTTTATTTTTAGCCTATAAGTCTTTTAAGGTGACATGAGTTTCTTGTAGGCAGCATATAGTTGGGCCATGTTTTCTATCCATTCAACAAGTCTATATCTTTTAATTGGAAAGCCTAATTTGTTGATATTCAAGATTATTATTGATATGTGAGGACTTATTCCTGTCATTTTATTAATTGATTTCTAGGTTTTTTTGTATAGCCTTTGTTTATTTTCTTCTCTCTCATTGTTTATCATTGTTTTTCTTAGTTGGTAACATTTAAGTCCTTTCTCTTCTTATTTGTATGTGTGTTCTACTCAGTGGGCTTTATATTTTCGTGTGTTTTCATGATGACATGTATCATCCTTTCACTTCAAAATGCAGGACTCTGATAAGAATTCTTTGTTGAGCTAGTCTAGTGGTGATAAATTCCCTCAGCTTTTGCTTGTCTGGGAAAGCCTTTATCTCTCCTTCATTTGTGAAAAATAACTTTGTTGAGTATGGTATTCTTGCCTGACCGTTTTTCTTCTTTCAGCACTTTGAATATCTTTTCCCATTCTCTTTTGGCTTATAAGGTTTCTGCTGAGAAATCTGTTGCTAGTCTGATGGAGATTCTCTTGTATTTCTCTTGCTATTTTTATTTTTTATTTTTTGAGACAGAGTCTCACTCTTTCACCCGGGCTGAAGTACAGCCGCATGATCTTGGCTCACTACAACCTTAACCTCCCAGGTTCAAGCAATTCTCCTGCCTCAGCCTTCCAAGTAGCTGGGATTACAGGCATGTGCCACTGTGCCTGGTTAATTTTTATATTTTTAGTAGAGACAGGGTTTCACCATGTTGGCCAGGCTGGTCTTGAACTCCTGACCTCAAGTGATCCACCCAGCTTGGCCTCCCAAACTGTGGGATTACAGGTGTGAGCAACCATGCCTGGCCTCTTGCTATTCTTAGAATACCCTGTCTTTGACTTTTGACAGTTTGATTATTGTGTACTGTCTATGTCCATTGGTGTATTGCTACAAAGGAATACCTGAGGCTTAGTAATTTATAAAGAAAAGATGTTTATTTGGCTCACAGTTCTGCAGGCTGAACCAAAAACATGGTTCCAGCACCTGCTTCTGATGATGGTTTCAGACAACTTCCACTAAAGTTGGCATGTGCAGAGAACAGTTGATGAGAGAAGAAGCAGGAAAAAGAGGCGGGGAGGTGACAGACTTTTAAACAATCAGCTCTCATAGGAAATAATAAAATGAGAACTCAATTTTTATCATGAGGATGGCACCAAGCCATTTATGAGGAATCCAGCCTTATGACTCAAACACCTCCCAAAGGCTTACCTCCAACATTAGGGATCAAATTTCAACATAAAATTTGGAGGAGTCAAACAAACAAAACTACAGCAGATGCCACAGAGAAGACCTTCTCGAATTGTGTGTATTTAGGAACCTTTGCACTTCCAGTATCTGGATGTCTAAACCTCTTGCAAGAGTGGGGAAGTTTTCAGCTATTATTTTGTTAAATAGTTTTTCTATTCCATTCACTTTCCCCTTGCCTTCCTGGACACTGAATATTTGAATATTTGGTTGCTTTATGGTGTTCCATATGTCACACAGGCTTTCTTCATGCTTTTTTATTCCTTTTAAAATTTTTTGTCTAATGGGTTATTTCAAAAGACCTATCTTCAAGTTCTAAATTGTTTCTTCTGCTTCATCTAGTCTATTATTGAAGCTTTTAGATTTTTTTTATTTCATTCAATGAATTTTTGAGTTTCAGGATTTCTGTTTAGTTCTTTTTATGATACCTATCTCTTTGATAAATTTCTCATTCATATTCTGAACTGTTTCTTTGATTTACTTGTATTGTTTAGTGTGTTCTTTGGTATCTCACTGAGCTTCTTTAATATTATTATTTTGAATTCTTTTTCTGGGAATTCATAAACTTCTTTTTCATTGAATTATTTTACTGGAAAATTATTGTGTTCCTTTGGAGTGTCATATTTCCTTGCTTTGTCATGTTTCTTGTGTCTTTACATTGATATCTGCATGTCTAGTTTGACAGTTCCTTCTTCCAATTTTTTGGATTTGTTTTCATGAAGGAGGACTTATTCCTGAAGATGTTTCTATGGTGTTGGTGGAATAGGGCACTTTTGCTTTTATTCTGGGTGTGCATGATAGTGTAGTATCCATATGATTTCTTCAGTAGATAGTATTGATAATGCCTGTGGCTTTTCTCAATGGATTGGGATGCAGTTGTTAGTGAAGACTGTAGTGAAGTTTTGCTGGGGATAGGGATGCCAGGTAGGCCAGTCCTCAGGCCCCAGTGGCAGACAGTGACCGGCCAAATGCTCATCCTTGGGCCCCAGGGTGGTATATGTTGGAACCTGTGTTATCATGTCCAGATGGCCTGATTCTTTGGCCTCCAGGTGGCTTTCTTGCGTGCCAGCAGTGTCAGCAGTAAGCAGGAGGGTGGGTGTGCCCTTGGGTTTTGGGGCAGTGGGTGTGGCATGGGTGATGGCAATAGCAGTGGTAGGACAACTTCTGGCTCCTAAATGGTTCACACTGGTGTTGATGGTGGCTGTGACAAGTTGACTGGGCCAGTCCCCAGGCCCACAGATGGTGTGAGCAGTTGGGTTCCAGCTGTGATGGTAGCAGCAGGTTGAGTGGGCCATCCTCAGACTTCTGGGAGAAGGGCTTAAGTGCCTATGGTGGTGGATGGGGTAGGGCAATCCTCAGGCCCTTGGATGGCATGCTTGGGCCTGCTAGGGCACACAGAACCAGGCCAGGCAAACCTGTCTTCAGGGCCTCCATGGTGCTTGTGGGTGTTTCCTGTGGGAGGCAGGGCAGGATAATCCCCTGACCCCCAGTGTAATGCTCAGATGGGAGTAGCAGCAGCTGTGCTGTGGTTCTCCTGCTCGGGAGGGCAGGATTGGTTTCAGTAGCAGCAGCCACAGGCAGACAGCTGGGGAGTGTGCACCTCATCCCCAGGTGGTGGCTGCCAAGAAGGGAGCCTGTTTTGGGGGTACTTGTAAATGAATGGTGGCCTCACTGCTGGGGGTAGCAGGATTGCTTGCCAGTCGTTCATGTTTCTGCCCCAGCAGCAACAGCCAGCAGTCACATTGGCTGCAGGTGGAGGAGTCTGTCCTAAAGGCACATGAAAATGCACAGCCTCTCATTGCTGGGAGCAGCAGGGTTGCTACTAATGGTTCCTGCTTCAGCCCTGGCAGCAGCTAGCAGTGGCAGCAGCTCCAGGAAGAGATTGTCAATGGGGCTCCAGGGATGATGCAGAGGCTATTGGGCCCAAGGGCAGTATGCAGTCTGGTGGGGACTAGGGTCCCAAAATTGTGCCATTCTGTAGCTTCATAGGACTCATGGGGTGTGTGAGACCCACCGTGATCTCCCTCTCTGAAGCAATGCAGTCACACAGACTCTGGGAAGTTCCCTATATTCATCTCAGGGCCCACAAGGGTTGAGGGCCTCTCCTGTGGCTAGGATTGTAGGAGCAGTGGAAAGGTGGACTTCTCGGGGGCAGGGGGGTGTCTCTCACTACCCTTTATCCACATGAGGGGACCTCTCTAGGCTCCCAGCCAATTCTAGCCTAGCAGGCTGCCTCACTTACCTCTCCCTCCTTGCCTTAAGGGTTTCCTGTAAACTTCTTGTTGGATTCCAGTGTTCTGTCTTAGGTGATCTATTTGAAGTGTCAAGAGATTCATATTTTAACCAAGTCTTTGGGGCAAGCAATCTCTTACTGCAAAGAAGATCACCAATATGTGGGAAATTTAATCACAGTATGCCCCCCCTCCCCCAGCCATTGTGGTCAGAATTAATCACCTGGGCTTTGCACCTGCCACACTAGGTCATCCTTTTGTCCAGTCAGGTAGGTGTCTGTGTCTGTCTTGTCTCCAGCATGTGAGCTCCCTGAGGGCAGCACTTATCCTGGAGCTTACAGTAGTGGAGCTCAAGGGAAGTCAGCTTGAACTCACTCACCCAAAAAATCTTTACCAAATTCCAATTACAAGCAAGACACGGCTAATTCTGGGGGCACAAAGGGAATCTTAAACCAGCCAGTTCAGTGTGTGTACAATGGTTCTGCTTCCTGCTTTTGAAGGGTTTACATCTAATGGGAGAGAAGAGGGGGGTCTAGGCATAAATAAGCCCACAGCAAAGCAGACACGTGTAAATAACAATGCTTCCCACATTATAGCAATAGGTCAGCTGAGTAAAATGTATGGACAGGTTCCAGGTCCCTGGTATTAGAAGGAGAACCACCTTATATTTCAATAGAAAGGCTTGAGGATTTTTTCCTCTTAGTTTTCTGTTTATTAGGAAACTAATACATATTAGGAAATATTTTGAATGGTATAGATAACAATATGCTTATTCACACCACCTGAATCCAGTGATAGTTAAACATTTTGGCATGGCACATTTACTTTATTTCTGTTCTTTTTTTTTTTTTCTTTTTTGAGACAGTCTGGCTCTATCACCCAGGCTGGGGTGCAGTGGCATGATCTCGGCTCACTGCAACCTCCACATCCTAGATTCAAGCGATTCTTCTGCCTCAGCCTCCCGAGTACCTGGGATTACAGGTGCATGCCACCATTCCTGGTTAATTTTTGTATTTTTTAGAAGAGGTGGGGTTTTGCCATGTTTGCCAGGCTGGTCTCGAACTCCTGGCCTCAAGTGATCTACCTGCCTTAGCCTCCCAAAGTGCTGGGATTACAGGTGTGAGCCACTGCACCTGGCCTTTTCTGTTCTTAATAAGGAGATAAAGATTACAGAAAAAGTTGTAGGCCCTTTGATGTCTCTCCTTAATTCTATTCCCCTCCCTCTTTCCCAGAGATCACGACTATCCTAAAGTTGCTTTGTCTCCTTCCCATGTATAAATACTTTTGCTTTATTTATGTGTTCCAGTAAATATATATAGTATTTGTGTGTTTTTAGAATTTATATAAGTGCATTCATATTGTGGGTAATTTGTTTGCACAATTCTTTTTTTAGCCAACATTTTAAAGGCTGTATGGTATTTATTTGTTTGACAAATCTCAATTTACTCTGAGATTTAGGTATAAATGTAATCTCTTGGGACTCCATCTGAGGGAGGACTCTTCCTTGAGGCCCTCCTAATGTTCAGATCTGTCTAAGGCCCCTCTTTAGTAGTCAGTAGCACTTCCTTGGCAGTTATTTATCACATTAAAATATCTTTCAAGAACCATGATGAGGCGTCTGATTATTACAAAGCATCATGCCCCATGAACTGTCTATGTTTCAAGGAAAGATACTGGGAATTATTTCTATTTGACAGCCAGTGCCTAGCCAAGTGCCTGGCATATAGAGGGAGTTTCAAAAATATTTAATGCATTAATCTAAACTCCTTTTATAGAAAAAAATGTCCATATGTGCTGATGTGTGTCTCTGTGCCTTTACCTAAAAGTCAGGGTCTGTGGGCTCCGGTAGCCATCCCGCTCACACTTTCTTCTAGAATTCTAATAAGCTCATCTATTTTCTTGCCTATAATACGAACAAACAATTAGAACAAAAAAGGAAGGAATGTAATCTGCTTCTAGAGGACAACACTTATGGTAGCAATAAGAGAAAGCCTAGCAGAGATGACAGAAAGAAAATTAGAAAAAGCAAAGGAATCTGAAGATATTTACTGTAATTGATGTATAAGTACAATGCTGATTCGCCAAAAGAAGATTAGATTGTAAGCCATATAATCTGGTTGAAAAGTCAGTAAAATACATAATGTTTTTAAGTGTAAAAAGAAAAAGGTTATGGGACATTTAAATTTGTTTTGGGGGCATGTCATCCCTGTCCAAAGTTTAACAGATGAGGAACCGCTATATGTGTTTTTCATTGATTATTGGTTTTACTCAACATTTTGCTTAAATAGTCCCTGCTTTAAATTTTAAAGCAGATGAATGAGAACATTTTGTATTTGTCCCTTCCTAAAAGATCCCACCAAAAATAAAATGAATTACTTTCCTGGCCCTCAACCAAATTTTTGTCAGAAATAAAATATGACTTTCCTTGGGCACCTTCATGACCTCCCTGAGAAGTGAAGAGTGAAGAGCTGGGCCTCTTCCTGCCTCCTGCTGCCTCCTCCTGCCTCCTCCTCCCTCCTCCTCTCTCCTCTGCCACAGAGCCACTTGGCGACACACGCTGCACAGGCTGCGAGGCAGAGGTAAGGTAGAACGCAGGGCCCTAGACCCCTTGGCCCTCTTCCCACACCGCTTGCTCCCACCTGCCCACCTTCTGAAGGATGACGTTGTGGGCACAGGCAGTCTTTTCCTCCTTCACCAGAAATTAGCACTGGGAAGTCACTGGGGCAGCAGATGTGGAAGACCAATGCATGACCTAGAGCAATTTATACAAACAGCTTCCCAGAGGCTCTTGATGAGAGCCTTTGACTAGTTTCCAGGGCAGCACACCATGAATCCTTGGCCAGGCTTAACTTTTCAGAGCTCAGAAACAGCTGTCCTGGCCACCCAGTTCCTAATTCCTTTGGCTGGGATCCTGAAGCAGAACTCACTGCCTCTGCCGTCCAAGTCTTCCAGCCCCTCAAGGATCAGGGGCTGCTGCCTTGCAGCCACCTCTGCTCTCTCATTCACTATCTCTCCCCTTAGTACTCAAAGTCCCATTAAGGAAACTGGAGAGGTGACAAGCTTATTGGGCTCTTCCTGGTTTCTCAGTGCGTGGCCCTACTCTGAAGAACTCACCTTTATCCTTCCTGGCAAATCCACACCCTCTCCTTTGCCAGGGCCCCCATGCTCAGTGGCTGAGGGAGCTGCTCAGGCCTTGAGAACAGACTGTGTCAAGGAAGACCCTGATAAGAAAAGAGAACAGGAAAACCTAACATGGAGACAGGGAGACACCCTACCCAAGCAGCTCTTTAGAATTAGAAGCACAGTTGCGGCCTGTTGGTTAACTTCTCTGAATGTTTTTGAGAACTAAGAACTGTGTGACTAGATACTTATGTCCTAATCCTTGCCTGTTAATAACTGCTTTTTATATAAACAACTGAGACTATTTAAGGACACTACAAGTCTCTACACAGTTTTAGAAACCTAGCACATTTAATTTAATTGTTTGTATTGCTTAACTCAGTGACTAAAGATGTTCAGAGGTTAGGCTAGATCTTTGAAAAATGTGTTCATTAGAGGTCCACTGTCTGCTTACCTGGAAAAAGAAAAGGCAGGATGGCAGGTATAAGATATAAGGAGAGAGAAGAAATGGGCAGAAATGACATATGATGTTTCTGACACTAAAATTTGAATTGGCAAAGAATGCCCAATGCCTAGTAGTTTGCTACTTTCCTACACTTCTCTCCTGTCTAGTGCTGTCACATGAAAGCCTCTTCAAAATGCAATCAGTCATTAGGCAGGTGTAGTATCAGTGCTGTGTAGTTGGGTCATGGGCCTAATATACAGGCCTTTCTTGGGAATCCTGGATTACCAAAACTGGCCACCAAGAGTCTTATACATATCATGGCACCCAGGCTCACCTGAAAAACAAAATGGTGAAGGGGACAATCGAGTTGCTCTCATGGCCCTGGTGATGCTGAAATTCCCAATAAACAGAAGAGACCAAGGCTGCCCCAATTTCCAAGGACAGAGAGTTATGCAGGAGGGCAGGGACTTCCCTGAGAGAGGCCTCAGCTTGAGATACTCATAGACTCTCTGTAAGAGGAGTGCTTGTAAGTGTGACTCCCTAGGGTAGCTGTAAAGGTGAAAATCACAGTTTGCCAGAGGACATCATGGTCACCAGCAGGAGAAGGCTTGACTGCAGTAGGAAGGAATGAAGACAATGGATTAAAAACCAAAGAGAGAGACTGACATGGGGCTCTGCTTCCTGGTGAGGCTCTGGAACTACTCATGGCTGCCAGTTCTACAGCTGGGCTTCCCAGTTATGTAGCCCATTTTGGTTAAGCTGAATTGAGTTGGTTTTCTGTCATATAAAACCGGGAAGAACTGACAGACTCAGCAGTTATTTGACATTATGTGTTTCCTCAGCACTTATGTGAGCAGATCCACAGAAAGGAGAGCTCATGACTCAAAAAGTCTGGAGACCAGTAATCTAGAGTCTAGGGAAACAGAATAAAAGGACTGTGAGATTGAAAACCATTATTGCCATTATATAACTTGTGTTATAAATAACAGTAAGTTGGTTATAACTACTATAACCAAGATGTTCTTCTGAATTTCTTTATATATTAATTCACTTAATCCTTCCCCAAAACTAGTAAGGTAGGTGCCAATATTATTGTTCCCATTTTGCAGATGAGGAAAACCAAGGCATAGAGGGACTGAGTAAATTGCCTAATACTACACAGCTAGAAAATGGAAGACCTGGAGTTCAAACTCAAGGTAGTCTGGATCCCCAACCTTAACCACTACACACACTGTCACTCTCTAAACAGAAAAGAATGTGCTGGTCATGACTGGCGTGTCAGAAAGTCTGTTTGCAAGAACCATTATAAATGATGTGTTTCCTTCAATCTATTGTTTTAGTCTTTCAATGACTGATTCCCTTGGAGAAGCTAGCCACGTAAGAAAATGAAAGGTCAATAAGCAAAAGCCTACTGAGTTAGGTTTCATTTGTCTGTGTTTTAAGGTAGAGAACACAGAACATTTGTCTGTGTTTTAAGGCAGTTTCACTCATTCACTTAGAAGATTTTAAGAACAGAGCTTGTGAAACTTGTCCCCCAAAAAACTCACAAACAGAACCTAGACTTGGGTCCACATTTTGGCCAGTTAATATGGACAGAATCATGAAGAAGGAAAAAGAAGGTAACATGAGAGGAGAAAAGGACCAAGACAGACTTGAAGCTACAAAAAAACAGGACAGCAAAGAAGAGAAGGGCAGACATTAAATAATTGAAAAAGACAGAAATTCACAATTTCAGATAAGATACACTGACAAAAAGAGAAAAGCATCCAGAGAAGGAGAGAGGAGTGGGCCATAATAAAACAAAATAAGAACAGAAATAGATAGAAATGGATTTTCAGTTCCTTGAGGACAGAATGTCCATTTTTGTTTGCTGCTGTTTTCCCCAGAGCAAGCACAGTGCCTGACATAGACAGTCAAGAAATAGCTGTTGGGTGAATAAATGAAAAAGAGAAAAAGAAACACATGAAAGACAACTGATAGGAAAGAAATCTGTGTAGCCATTAAATATATAGACTATGGAATCAGGCAGACCTGGGTTCAGATCTTGGCTTTGTATCTTCAGATCCATGTGATATTGGGTAATGTACTCACTACTTTCACTGGTTTTGTATATTAGTTTCTTCATATGTAAAAATAAGGATATGTTCTAGCTATTGAGTTAGTTTTCTCTTGTCTCCAAAACACCTTTTTATACTCTGCTTTATGATGCCAGGGCTGAAACTATATAGACCACACTTTGGCTTTGCCAGTGTCTGCCTAGCCCTGCTAAGAGAGGGCACTAGAGGGAGACTGGAAGGGCTAAGAAGGACGAAGGGACTTGTTTCTCCTCATCTGCTTCCTGTTCCTGAGAGCATCATTTCTGAAAAGCTTCTTCATCGCAGCAGCAGCAGTAGCAGTTCTTTTCTACAGCAGCAACAGAGTCCAATTTGCAGTTTTTCCAACACCTGCAGTGCCAGCTTCACTGTGCCCCCTCAGAGACACCAGCGGTGCACCACGAAGCTGTGCTCTGCAGGTGCCAGCTCTGGAGCTACACCTGCAGCTGCACCTTTGGAGCTGAGGTTCAGCTTTGGAGCGCCCCTCCTCCACATCTCTAAGTGTTAACAATTCCAGCTTCTTCTTTTTGCTCCCCTAGGCCTACAGATGGAAGCTGCTTCCTGCAGTTGCTACCTCTTTGATAACTTAGCGTCCTCTTTTTACCCCTTTATGACCTAGTCATCAACTTTATACCTAGATAATAATTCTTCTATTCAATTTTCTCTGTTTAAATAATTAAAATGGCTTCTGTCTCCTGACTGGACCCAGACTGAAAGTGGGTAATAACACCGACTTCACAGGGTTGTGAAGATAGATGTGTAAAGTGCTTAGAATATTGTCTGGCTGTAGTAAGAAGACAATAAATCTTAGCTGTATAATATGTGGACACACTGAAGAACAGTAATTTAGACAGTAATAAAGTAATTTAGACAGTAAGAAGACAATAAATCTTAGCTGTATAATATGTGGACACACTGAAGAACAGTAATTTAGACAGTAATACTAGAGGTGGCATAGATGGGTTTTCAAAGAGCAATACCTTGACATTTTGACCTGTGAAGACTTTGGCAGGTGTGCTCTGCCTTCCCAGCTGTAGGCGCATATCAAGTATCCAAGTCAGATACTGCATGTCATTGAATTGAGGACACCATTGATTGTCATATACACCATTAATTTTGTGTATCACCAAGAAAACAAAAAATCACTGCCGTTAAAGTATGGCAGGTTGTAGAGTGTGAGGCTCATCCTGATACTGCAGATGTTAAATGTGAAAAAAAATGTATCTTACAGGTGATGTAATACAATATTTACATTGAACCATGGTGAATATAAGATAACCCCCTGATGAACCTATAGGCCTATAGGCATTCTTTATCCCTCACTGTATAGTATCAACATCACTAATGTGGACACACACACACACACACATACAGACACACACACATACATACACTAGGAAAGGTAAAGAAGAAAAGGATTTCTTGGCCCTGTGTGGACTGTTATTCAAGGGTCATCAAGGAAGCCAATAACTGGAAATTTGTCTCAACAAAATAAGTCTTTCATTTAGTTCAGTTTGCCTGTTTTAACCAAGTGCTTACCCTCCTCACCCAGCAAATTCTTCCAGCTTTCTGAGCAAAATAACCTAGCATACAAACCAGAGGCAAACCAGAAGTTTGCTTCTACTCCAATTGAGAAAGAATGGGAACTCATAGTGGAATGTTTCCTTGCTTGTTAGGGTGACCGGTGGTCTAACTTAAAATTATACTGTGTTCAGAACAATGTGGGCTTTTATGCGTCATGCTTAAGCTTCAATCCAAATATGCTTCTGGAGTATAGTTACACCAGAAAAACAAGGAATGTAAAAATAACGCCTCATGAGTCAATGTGTTTTCTGCCTAAAATAGTTTTTTTTTTTTTTTTTTGAGATGGAGTTGCGTTCTGTCGCCCAGGCTGGAGTGCAGGGGCGCGATCTCGGCTCACTGCACTCCGCCTCCCGGGTTCAAGCGATTCTCCCACCTCAGCCTCCCGACCAAAACAGATTCTTAATATGGCTGGCCCTGCACAGCCCAGATCACCTTGGGAAAATAGCCTGAAATTGACTTTACATCATGCAGATTCAAGACTATCTGGCTCTGTATTAAGTCATGGACAAAAAAAAAAAAAAAAAAAAAATGGCCAATTGATGGGGCAGAGGGAAAGGGGGAAGGAGGAAGAGAGAGGAATGAGTGTAAGACTGGCAATTTATTTGAAGAAGGAAGAAAAGAAGATAAAATGAACACTCTTCAGAAGGTTTTCAATGACCAGAGTTAATTTTCTTTAATTTTCACACACTGATCAAATCAAGGGAACTGTAATCAGTCTCTTTTTCCCCATTCCCTCCTCTGGCTTGATCTGAACATGGAAAATCAGTCAGCCTTCTTCTTTATTATTTTTTATTTTATTTTATTTTATTTTTTGAGACGGAGTCTCCCTCTGTTGCCCAGGCTGGAGTGCAGTGATGTGATCTCAGCTCACTGCAACCTTCGCCTCCCAGATCCAAGCGATTCTCTTGCCTCAGCCTCCTGAGTAGCTGACACTACAGGTATGAGCCACCGTGCCCGGCCAGTCCATTCTTTTCTAAGCTCTGTGCACCAGGCTGGCAACACTTGTTTAAAAACCCATTCTATACTTCTCTGTTTTAACTTTTAACCCTCTCCCTGGGACATGTGAAGAGGAAAAGTGAGCCCCAACACATAAGAATGAAGAGGAGAAGAATGTGGGCTGCATTTCCCATGGGACACTGGAAATGCTGGCTTCATGGAGACAAGATTCTTTTTCAGAATCCCTACACAAATTGCTGGAAAGAACTTCCAAGGAGGCATGGTAAGGGAGTTACACTAATCATGAAGGGGTTTTATCCTGTTTATTACACACTTATAAGTAGCATTGTGCTAGGCATTGGAGACACAAAGTCAGATAAGAGAATTCTAGCCTCTAGGAGCTCACAGTCTAGTCACTGTATGATCAACCCAATAATTCCCCAAAGCAAAGCCCCCAGAGTTGAAAGGTCAGGGCCCATGGGAAGCACAGAGGAGAGAGTGAGGTAAGAAGCAATTGCCCCAGGACCTTTGCACTTGCTCCCTGGCTGGATGCTCTCCCTTGAGATTGCCTCACGGCTCACTCTGTTGGCCATGTTCAGAAAAAGACCAGCATCAGAGAGACAAGAGTAAGATGAATAAATTTGTAGGGTCTGTGGCATTCTCCAATAAAAAACTGCGTGTACCAGATCTTTTATCATACCACTCAGACTTCTTTGTTCATAGCACTGTCTCTCCCCACACGTGTGTCAGCTTTCCTCTATGTTAAATCTGTCATAAGTTGCTGTTGAGAATATGTTGTTTCTGAATAACGTGTATTCTGAGATATGCACCTCACAGAACTTTAAGTCACACCCCCCTCCTTGGTGACTCAATAACCAATTATAGTGCCCCCACATAGTACAGACATTTCTAAGAGAACTCCAGGGAGAAATGCAATGGTGACGTGATCAGCAGAGGTCAGGAGATGTGCTGGAGCTGGCTGGCAGGGCTCACAAGAATCAATGGTCAAAGTCACAGAATTTTTCAAGCCAGTTGATGTCATGTTGTTGGTAAGCTTAAAATTTAGCCATGGTGGAAGTATTCAAACCATGGAAATCAGCCAACACTACACATCAGAGCTTCTTTGCCTTCCATAAAGCCAGTTATTAACCATTAATTTGCACCCCCTTGTCCAGGCTAATCCTTCTGGGTTTCAGGGAACAGCTTCACCAGATTCTTTCTTTAGCAAAAACCAGACAAAGTATATGGAAGGAGACAGAGGACAGCACTGTCTCTGATCCATAGCAAGGAAAAGTTGCCTCCTGCTTGCCCACGCTGAACAACTTCCTAGAGCAGGGGTCAGCACATTTCCTGTAAAGAGTCAGATAGTCAATATTTTTGGCTTTGCAGACCATCTGATCACTGCCACTACTATTCAACTCTGCCTCTGTAGCACAAAAACAACCATAGTCAATACATAAACGATAGGTGTGGCTGCATTTCAATACAATATTATCTATGAACATTGAAATTTGAATTTATGTCATTTGCATATGTCCCAAGATATTATTCTCCTTTTGATCTTCTTTCAACCATTTATCAATGTAAAAACCAGTCTTAGCTCATAGTCTATACAAAATCAGGCATCGGGGTGGATTTGACCCACGGGTTGTAGTTTGCCAAACATTGCCTTGAAGTATAGTATATTAAGTAATGTCAAAGAAGGGAAATTGATCTTTGTGTCTCAACTAATTATAATAACAACTCTCGGCCGGGCGCAGTGGCTCACGCCTGTAATCCCAGCACTTTGGGAGGCCGAGGCAGGTGGATCACGAGGTCAGGAGATCGAGACCATCCTGGCTAACACGGTGAAACCCTATCTCTACTAAAAATACAAAAAATTAGCCGGGCGTAGTGGCGGGCGCCTGTAGTCCCAGCTACTCGGGAGGCTGAGGCAGGTGAATGGCGTGAACCCGGGAGGCGGAGCTTGCAGTGAGCCGAGATCACACCATTGCAGTCCAGCCTGGGCGACAGAGCGAGACGCCTCTCAAAAAAAAAAAAAAAAAAAAAAAAAACAGCTCTCATTACTGAGTAGTTTATACAAGTACTCTACTAAGAGCTTTATATATATATTAGCTCATTGAATCCTTAAAATGGTCTTAAGATAAATTCTAATATTGGGGCTTAGAGAAGAAAAATAACATGGCCAAGTTCACTTCGTTAGAACATGGCAGAGCTGGCTGGGCTTTGGGCTCATTTTTGTCTAATTTGAAAGTTTGTACTCTTAGCTAATGCCACCCTAGTCTGAAATCCTGGACCTTGTTTGCAGAAAATCATCTCGTGCATTCACCGCAATCTCCTTGTTTATCCTCCTTCACAGTGCTTACAGCCAGCCTCTCTTCCCCCGCTACTTTCTCTACGGGGTGAGGCAGCCAGGATCTCCTGATTTACAGGCCCTGGAAGCCATCCAGCAGACTTACCATAGAAGAAAGATAAGCTGGGCAAAGTCACATTTGTAACTTTATCTTTTTTAAAAAAAATAATTTCATAAAATACGGAAATGGGTTGAGTAGCACTTGCAATTTATTTCCAAAAATCAGGCTAAAAAGAGACACCTGTGTCACATGAGGAGAGATGCCATCTCTAGACTGGACTTTGTCCTTGACTGACACAAGGGCAAGCCTGAGCTCATAAACGGCTTCTCCATCTCCATGAGCTGTCAGCACAAAGGTAGGAACTCTGCTTCTCAACTTTTTTTTTTTTAAAGGACAGAAATGTAATTCTTGAGAGGACAAGTGACTCTTAGCAGGAAAAAGTTTTATTTGGATTTGTATGTATGTGTGTGTGTTTCTGTATTCATGGAACTAACACACAGAATATTCTGAAATGAAAGGAAACATAAATTATAAGAATGAATTATTCTTAGGAGATCAAGTGCCGTAATTTCCCAAATTATCTTATGACTACCTTAGTGAAAAAAATTGATGAAGCAGGCTGGGCGTGGTGGTTCACACCTGTAATTCCAGCACTTTGGGAGGCTGAGGCAGACAGATCACTTAAAGTGACAGATCACTTGAGTTCAAGACCAGCCTGGCCAATATGGTGAAACCCTGTCTCTGCTAAAAATACAAAAATTAGCCGGGCGTGGTGCCGCATGCCTATAATTCCAGCTTCTCAGAAGGCTGAGGCAGGAGAATAACTTGAACTCAGGAGGCAGAGGTTGCAGTGAGCTAAGATATTGCGCCACTGCACTCCAGCCTAGGCGACAGACTGAGACTCCATCTCAAAGAAACAAAAAATGATGAAGCAAATACAAAATGTTAATATTATTAGATATGTGAGATGATTTGTTACCAACAAAATTTTTAAACGTCTAAAACAAATAGCATGATTGAACAAAAGATAGATTTTTTTTAAAGGACATAAATGATTTGTTTAACTAGAATTCCAAGGTAAATCAGAGGGATGGTAACCTGGATGCAATTCAGTGGTGTCTTGACAATGATTTTCCAATTTAGATAAGTCCTGACCACAGATGATCCTTCACTTGGGCATTAATTTTACTGAGCTTTAAAATAGGCTCAGTTTATCCTTACCAGTTAAACTCACAAATCCAGGCACACATTTAAAGGAAAGTTTAGTTCAACCTTAAAGACCAGGAAAACATTTCATTGTTTTATGGAGAAAGCTGATTTGTTCCCTCCAAGTGGGAAGCCAGCTCTTTAAATGATAAAGTGCCATGCGGGCTTAACCTTGAAAGAGGTCAAGCTACTGGTGATGAAGCCCAGGCTTCAGAGGAAGAACCAGATGTCAGAATGGGAATGAAAGACTAATGTTATCTAGTGCTGGTGAAGGGTTGGGGAAACTGGCACATGTGTGCCCCTTTTGTGGGAGTGTAAATTGGTACAACCTTCCTGGAGGAAAATTTAGCAACATGTAGAAGAGCCTTTTTTTAAAAAGTCTTTGACTTAGAAATCCCACTCCTAGGAATTTACCTGAAGCAAACAGTTGGATAAATGTGCTAAGATGAACAAACAAGATGTTAATTGTCACACAGTTTAGAACACTGATAAATCTGAAATGACTTGAACATTTAGCAATAGGAATTTGGTTAAATAATTATGCATATCTACACAGTGAAAACCATGAAGCCGTTAACTAGGATAATAGGGATCTATACTTATAGATATGAAAAGAGAGATGCTTCTATTTTGCTAAGTGGGAAAAAAAACTGTGTATCCTTTGATTCTATTTATTAAGGGTTGGGGAGGAGTGTGGGGGAAAGAGAGAAAGAGACAGTGTGTTGTGTGTGTCCTTTACCAAAGACTTCTCAGAGGTTGAAATATGCTGGCCATTTCCATTTTTTGAGGCTTTTAGCATATATATATATATGAGAAATGACAAAAGAGGGTTATAAAATGTTTAGTCTATTAGTTTATTATAGCTATTTACATTTAAGAAATTAATGCTTTTTATCATCAATAAACATTCTATATAACTAATAGGATTTATGGGTACATTTTTATTTGCAGTGTACTATAGACTGTGTGGTGCTCTAGTAGACCACCAGTTTAAAGTGGTTTGATGACATTCTTCCCCTACCAACCTAATCAGAGTAGTTTTTTTTTTTTTTTCGAGACGGAGTCTCTCTTTGTCTCCCGGACTGGAGTGCAATGGTGCAATCTCAGCTCACTGCAACCTCTGCCCCCCGGGTTTAAGTGATTCTCCTGTCTCAGGCTCCTAAGTAGCTGGGATTACAGGTGCACACCACTATGCCAGCTAATTTTTGTAGCTTTAGTAGAGATGGGGTTTCACCATGTTGGCCAGGCTGGTCTCAAACTCCTGACATTGTGATCGGCCCACCTTGGCCGCCCAAAGTGCTGGGATTACAGGCGTGAGCCACGGCACCCGACCTCATTCAGAGCATTTCTGTGCCTGGTTGTATACTCCTTTAGATATAATACCAAAAATCAAAATTTTAGCCCCTTTGGGAATGTGTGCCTGGCCTCATGTGGTCCTCCTGACACTCTTGTAATGGGCTCAACCTTTGTCCCAAGCTGGAGTCATTGAGCACAATGGCATACTCCATTCCATCCAGCCCTCACGCTTCCCTCATTCCTGCTTTCTCAGACTATACCCTTATTCTCTGGTGTCACAGCTCCCAAAACATATCTGGATGCTCCTCAGGGCATTGCAACCCAGAAGCTTTTACACTGGAGAGTCCAGCCTCTATCACCCCCATGTGAGAAGTTGCCTGTTGCAGTACAGTAAGGGCCGGCCCAACGCCATGCCATGGTGGTATTGCTTCTCTGTGGCAGCTTATTGTATGCACAGCCGAAGTTCTGGAAACAGTGACTTGAGAGCCACGGCATGACAACAGTGTCAATAATGAGGAACCACAGCGCTAGGGGTAGTCAATAAACAGAACATGACTGCTGCCTGTGTCCAGGAAACTCCAGGCACAGACAGGCCACAGCTGCACTAATGTGGCATGAAGCTCCAAACTAACAGCAGAAGTCATGTCAACATTTCTATGTGACTGGGAGACCAGAGCCTTTCCCAGATGCCACATTTGGATTCTTGGATTCTTTAGCAGGCTATGCTTCAGCAATCACAGCAAGGCAGGGACAGATCACTCACAGAGATTCCAGGAGTAGTACCAGCTGAGCCAGCCTAATGACACCGCTTGTTTTGCCAAATTTCCCTGTAAGCTGCACAGGAGCAGACACTGGGAACTCAGAGTTCTCAAGCAACTGCTATGGGGAAAGAAAAACAAGGGTCACCATCACAGAAGAAGAAACAAATTTATGATATTCTAAAGCACCTCTGTAAACTATGTGATCTAAAGGCAGCATCAGGGAGTGGCCACAACAGGCAGACAAGTCTAGCAAGTGGGACCACAAACAGGGCAGATGCTCCGGAGAATATGTTTACTTTTGAACCTTCTGTTCAGTGACATCATTGGTCCATGCAAGGCCCCTCCCTTATTTACTTATAAATTAATCTATTACACAAATTAATTTCCATTTATTTCCATCACCACCTCCATTCTCCTTTCACCACAGGGAATCATTTAAATGTGTTTAGTGTGGCTCTTTTTTATTTGTATATGTTTTTGCAAAACATAAGATGTAATGATTTATGTGCATGGATTTTTAACTTACATAAATGGTTATGTTAAACATCTTGTTCTGTTTTCTACTTATTCCACTAAGCATTAGTGTGGCTCTATGTTGCTATGTTCCATATTGTTGGATGTATAACTAACCCATTGTTCCTAATCGCTGCTTAATACCCAATTGTGTGCCCCACAATATTTACCCATCTGCTTTTCCAGTGATGGAAGACACCCACAAATATTGAAATTAACATTTTTATATATGTCCTTTTATGCACTTGGGTGAGAATATCCATGGGATACATACCCAGGAGGGATATAGTTGGAACACTGGATGTATGCTTACTTAATTTGACTAAATTCTACAAGATTGCTTACCAAAATGGCTGCAACAGTCTGTACCTCCATGAGCACTATGCAAAGATTCCTGTTTCCACATCCCCAGGGCAGAAACCATTTACACAAGGTAGGTCACAATAGGGAACCCTCTCCTTTTAGACTATGGACCTTTTGTGTCTGGTTCCAAGGCTCACTGCCCGAGCTCACAGCACCTGAGGAAACCCTAGGAGTTGGTGCTGAGAATGCCCTATGCCAGGGCTCTTTAGAAGAAGGATGAATCGATGTGCTTCATGGCTAGTCAGTTATTCAACAAATATTTATGGGTGCCGATTAAGTGCAAAGCTCTGTGTTAACAGAGAAAAATCTCCTATGATCTGTGCCTTCTTTGTATTTAGAAATTAGTGGGGAATAATGACATTAATTCAAAATCTTACAAATAAATAACCAAAAGCATGCAATGGTGTATGAGCAAGAATTTCAGGATGACATGGGGAAACTTACTTAAGAATGAGAGTACCATGAGGCCAGGGCATTTTGTCTGCTTTGTTTAATACTGTACTCTAGCTTCTAGAAGAGTACCTGACACATAGTAGGACCTCTTAAAATATCTTCTAATTGAATGACTAAAAGAATAGAAGGTCAGTGTTCAAGGAAGGGGACCCCAAGGCATGATGTTTGAACCAGGACCTGGAAAATGAGCAAGGACTAGTCAGGACAAGATGGTGGTGGTGGTCTCAGAAGCACTCTTGGGTAAGGAGTTGGGGATGGGTATATAATGACAGCAATAGCTAAACCCATCTGTGGAAATACTCTCAAATGCCACCCAAGCACATGTGCCCCAGAATGCCGACCCCTTTTCTCGACAAAGCTGTTGGGACCAAGTTCAGTCCTGAGAAGCAGGATCATAGACAAGAAACTCTGCAGCCGCAGTGCAGAAGACAATGTTTCTATATAATCAATGGGCAATTTTTTTTCAAAACTGGGGAAAAAAGAACAAGTTTGAATTTACGAGGACCTGAATTTGAGTCCTCCTATTTTATCTCTTAGCCGCTAAGCAAATCTGTGTAAGTTATTTAACTTCCTTTAGTTTCCTCATAGTAAAAAAAAAAAAAAAAAAAAAAAAAGGGATGATAATACCAACTGTATAGGGGTTTTGAGAAAATTAAATAAGATAGATTATATTATAGATAAGGTATATTACACAATAATATAAAATATATTCTAATGATAATTGCTAACTATTACTGAACATTTATTTGCTAAGCACTTTCCTTGAATTCTCTATTTTATCTCTAATACCTCATAGGGTTGCTGTGGGCACATGAGCACTTAGAACAGTGCCTAGCACAAAAAGTGCTCAAAAAGTGTTAGATATGATCCCACAAGTGTCTGCATTTTACAGATGAGGAAACTGGGGCTTAGAGAAGTTAGCTAACTTGCCCAAATTCACATGCCTAATAAGTGGCAGAAACAGGAGCAAACACAAACTCAGCCTCCACCTTCTATGGCCAGAGTAGTGCAGGCACACAGCAGCCCTCAAAGTATGTCAGCCTCTCCTCCCATACATGACTCTTCCCACCAACATCCCATCCCTTCCACCTTCCTCCCTTGAGGAGTAGTCAGCAATGAGAAACTCCATAAAGGCCTTCAAGTGTGGATAGAATTGTTAGTGAGAGAAGAAGTCATCTAAGTGTTCCTCTGTACACACACATACACACACACACACACGAGGAGACAGCGAGAAGGAGAAAGAGCCCATAGACTTTTCTGTCAGATATGGAGGGCGGGTCGTAATTATTGTAACTGATCCTAAACAGACACAACAGAATACATCCAGGTTACTACTGAGCACTCTGAACCTTGTGACAAATAGAGGATTTCATAAGCTTTGTCCAAGTTTGAGGTAATTTAAATGAAAAGATACTTGAGTCACTCCTCACTTTCCCTTGAAGAAACAGGAAAACTCCACTATGGTGTCTGACAGTTGCTACCTATTTAATCTGAAATTGGACAGAATCTAGGTTGCTGAATTATGGGTAGTCACTGGAATGTTATTTTAAACAAAATAAACCCCGGGAATAAAGAAGCTCAAGAATTCTGGGGAGAGGATAAATCACTTGAAATATACATACGGGAGCTTGAAACATTTTTTTTTTCTTCTTCTCTCTTTGTGCAATTTATTTCCCACGGAAGATTTCATTCAGATAGAGTAATCTGCTTCCTGAGAGAGTCCAGGAAGTTTCTTGAGGATCTGGTCGAAGGTAGAGTGATTAAGTAACTCAGCCCAGATGAAGAGCCAAAAGTTTTCTATCTGCTTTTCCCAGGCTTCCCTCCCTGTCTCTCCCCTCCCCGCAGCTCTCTGAATTTTTAACCCTAGGATTCTCTTGTAGCACATGGATTTTCAGGGAGTATACTAACCAGAAATGGAAAGGATTTATTTTACCAGAGAGTCTAAATATCTTGGGCTTTCAGCCAGGCACAGAAAGTCTGACTGTGGAAACATGCAGACCCAGGGACAAAAAAGAAATCCTCAGACACAATATGGAGTGATTCCTGACCAGATTTACGGAGATGTCATCCGTGCTATCAGAAAAGGACTATAGGTTTGAATCTCTAAAGAAGACTCATGCTAAAGAGAAGTTGCCAAGGACATACACACGGAATGAAAGAAAAGAAAATGGAGGAAAATAATGGAGATGATTTAGATTGAGCATAGTTTATATTAATGAGACACTAGAAAGCGCTGAGAGAATTGCATGGGGAGTTATGAAAATAAATCTAAAATAAGATAAAATAAATATGAAAGACAGTACAGAATCTAAGGAATTTGCATTTTATTATGAATAAAGGTATATTTCCAGCTAGCGACCATTTTATAGAACAACTTATAAAATGAATCATTTCCATCTCTGCTTGGGACACTCCCTTTTCTCCTGAATTGCAGCTCCACCAACAATGAAAGGTGTGTGTGAATGTGTGTGTGTGTGTGTGTGTGCTGACTTACTATCTAGATAAGTGTGTGCTACGTGTCATACTGATTTTCTGGTAATTCAACACTAATTCCTGGCAAAGCATCCTGGGAAATTCCAGACCTATGAATGCCTCTCTGGAAGGTCACAATCAAGATCTGTTGAAATCCAACTGTATTTCAAACACTTCCTGGATTCTTTATAAAATCAAGAAACAGCTTCTCCATTGCTTTTCCTAATCTTTGAGCAAGTACGTTTCATTAAAGTGCTAGTACTTTAAGAATTTGACCTAATCTGCAAAATACTTCAGTAGGAAATGTGGCAAGTGCCACTGCTACAATTCTCCAGAGGTTAAAAAGAATGCACTCAATCAATTAGTGGTGAAAGTGAACATAAATCCTGAATTTCATGACCCATAGTTTAGTGAGGAGTCCATCACATGTCATCATTTACTTGCCTCTGGAAATCAGAAATAAACTGATTTTGCTTCAGTTAACTTTGCAAAATGTTTACTTTGCTTAACTTTCAAAACTGTTTTCTTTAACAAAAATGACAGGGCACTATACTTGCATTTTTTTTTTCACACAGCACCAAATTATTCCGGCAATTCAGCAAAGGAAAAAGAGATAATCTAATTCAGCTGGCATTACATAAGTAAAAACAAGCTAAATTTCAGTTAGCTTCAATAAGTGCTTCTTTCACCTGAGTACTCTCCTTTGCCCCATGCCTCCAACTGTGTGTGTTTTCTTTTTGTTCATTTAGGCTACAGTTAATGAATATTAATAATAGTACTAATACTATTGCTAAAGGGTAATAATAGTATGAGCATGCACCCATTCAGACTCTTTGCTTATAGAAATTGGTGTTATTCATGAACACAGGGAGGGGAACATCGCACACCGGGGCCTGTCGGGGTTGGGGGCTTAGGGAGGGATAGCATTAGGAGAAATACCTAATGTAGATGACAGGTTGACGGGTGCAGCAAACTACCATGGTACCTGTATACCTATGTAACAAACCTGCACATTCTGCACGTGTATCCCAGAACATAAAGTATAATTTAAAATTTTTTTTTCTCATTTCCATGCCAATAACTTTATTTATTTATTTATTTTTTATACTTTAAGTTTTAGGGTACATGTGCACATTGTGCAGGTTAGTTACATATGTATACATGTGCCATGCTGGTGCGCTGCACCCACTAACTCGTCATCTAGCCTTAGGTATATCTCCCAATGCTATCCCTCCCCACTCCCCCCACCCCACCACAGTCCCCAGAGTGTGATATTCCCCTCCACGTGTCCATGTGATCTCATTGTTCAATTCCCACCCATGAGTGAGAATATGCGGTGTTTGGTTTTTTGTTCTTGCGATAGTTTACTGAGAATGATGATTTCCAATTTCATCCATGTCCCTACAAAGGACATGAACTCATCATTTTTTATGGCTGCATAGTATTCCATGGTGTATATGTGCCACATT
Organism: Homo sapiens; assembly: GCF_000001405.40. Taxonomy (NCBI): domain Eukaryota; kingdom Metazoa; phylum Chordata; class Mammalia; order Primates; family Hominidae; genus Homo; species Homo sapiens. The sequence goes on along the minus strand of NC_000012.12, from coordinate 69,986,554 downwards.
TTCTTAATCCAGTCTATCATTTTTAGATAATCCAGTCTATCTAAAAAAAGAAATTGGTGTTATTATCATTCCCACTTTACAGATGAAGAAATAGGCTTAGGGTATGTTAAGTAAATTGTGCAATGTCACAACACTGCTAATAAAAGTGGAAGAGCAGAGTCCACATTTCAAATCTTTGTGGTAAGCTCAAAAGCTGACCATCTGCAAACTCTTCCCTCTAATTAAATTGTTCATTGAACTATGACCCCTCTCAGGCTTATCTACATTTCAGTAAGGACTTTGTAAGGGTATAAACTCCATGAGGGTAGAGACTTGGTCTATGTTGTTCAGAATGGCATCCCCGTGCCTAGCAGGTAGTAGGTGTCCCATAATCAGGGCCGAATTCGTGGGTCTGTGAGCAGCACAGTGACACAGGGCCACCAGTCAGAAGGGCTCCCCACTTGGATTCAATGCTTCGCATTGCTGTCTTCAGATTCTTAAAATTTTATCTTTGAATTGTGTGTAGATGAAGTCTGATGGGACAATGGAGCACAGGTGGGCACCTGGAGCCTCTGCTTATGTGGGGCCCCACCTCCCGCCGCTTCAGTGCCCATCACCACCTGGGTTATTGGCTGCTTACCCTCCACCCGTGGTGCCCTGGATGGCAACCAGGTCTTGTGGGGAGGGGGCAGGACTCTGACTCTGGCCAGAGTCTGGGCAAGGGAGAGGGAAGGGCTGAGGTTGGGTGTGTGTTCCCTGTGGCATCTTAGGGAGTGGTGGCCACAGTCCCACCCTGGATTGACAGCTCCACAGTGCACCCAGTGGGCTGTTCAGGAAGTGCGAGCCTGTCACCCATGCTTGAGCCAGGTGCTAAGTGCATTCTGGTTTGGAAGGTGCATGCCTTGGAGGACTTACTTGTCCCCAGCCAGGGCAGGACATATCAGGCATGGTAAAATTTTAATATGTTGTAGTTAGAAAGAATAAGACCTAATATTTGATAACGCAACAGAGTGATTACAGTTAATAATAATTTAATTGTACATTTAAAAATAACTAAAAGAGTATATAATTGGATTGTTTCTAACACAAAGGATAAATGCTTGAGGAGATGGAGACCCCATTTTCCATGATTTGACTATTACACATTACATGCCTGTAGCAAATTATCTCATGTACCCCATAAAAATATACATCTACTATGTACCTACAATTTTTATTATTTTTAAAAGTTTAACATTTTGGTACCAAAACAGCATTTTTTCATGCTTTTTGGATGGGGGGGCACGTATTTTCATTTTGCAAAGGACTCCACAAATTATGTAGCTGATCTTGTCACTAATTATGTATTAGATTAATAATTTGGACTCTTAGAGATCAAAACTTGTAGGTCTCAAAGGAACAAGGCACTAAGATCCAAGGCACTAAGATCCAGAATCTTGGACTGGAAAGTGTGCCTTTAGATGATATTCAAGGAAAAATGTATAAGAACATATTATACACCCAAGAACTTCTTGACAATCAGCACTAGAATGGGGTCACCTAGAGACATCTAGGTGAAATCTCCCACATGAGAACTGTGACTTCAAGCTGGCCATTTTTTTGTTTAGCCAATAAAGTTTTTAAAAGAATCAATCTGGTTGCTTTGATATGGGTGTGCCAGTTTCAGCCAGGCCCACTTCCTAGAGCTCCCTCTTGTCTCGCCTTTGGCTGCTCTCCCATTGGCTCACACTTACACGTGTGAAACCTGGCCCCTGAACTATTTGTGTTTTACTCCTGTTCTGAGCATCACATGTAGGACAATCGGTCATCTCCCTTTCAGGGTTCTATGAATATGGTAACAAAGAGCATTCATAAATACCATAGCACCATGATGTCTCTGAGAGGAATAATTATTATGAGGTGTGATATTTTTTACATTCCTCTCTCCCTTACTGGACTGTAGACTTTTTTTTTTAATGGCACATGTATTAGTCATGGCAGTCTAACTGCTAAAACAAATAAGCCTAAAATCTCAGTGGCTTAGCCCAATAAAGATGTGTGTGTGTGTGTGCGCGCACGGGGGCGCATGTGTGTGCATGTGTGTTTTCACACGTTATAGTCCAATGGGAGTCAGTTAGGAGTCATTTACTCCATACAGTCATTCAGCATTCCAGGGTTCTAGGATCTTCCGTTGGGTGATTTCCTCATCCCTGAGGACCTTGGAATCTTCTACTAGTTCATCAGCATTTGGCTGGCAGATGTGGAAAAAAAGAGCCCACAGAGGACTATGAGAGAGATGTTGATAGGTCAAGACTGGAAATGACAGACATCATTTCTACCTCCGCTCTACTGACTCTGCCATATTACCCTACATAATTGCAGGGGAGGTTGCTAGCCCTCATAAAATTTACCTTCCAGTGAAGTCCTTACTGAAATTCAGGTTGGCACAGAACTTACACAGGGAATGTCAGCTAATGGTATGCTTTTGAGCCTACTACCTAATTTGAATTTTGCTCTACCATAAGTGTGAATTCTGCTCTGCAACTTTACTAGCTATGTAACCTTGGCCAACTTAACCTTCTCTTAGCCTGTTTCCATCTAGCTGTGTGCCTGGAAAGAACAGGAAACACGGTTTGGTGCTACATTAATATTGTCTCTGCTGCATCAACGATCATATGTTATTTTCTTTGTATACGTAATGGCTGGCACCTAGGAAGTATTCAATAAATATTTGTCACGTGAATAAAATAATTGAGGTAGGTAATTAGGATGGGCTCAATTCTTGTAGCAAAAAGAAAGTTGTAATCTGGGTAGATTTGAAATGAGAGAAGGAATCTTATTTGGGGAAAATGAGAATTCAAGGAGTTGACTAGAATTATTGATTTGTGTTTGTCCTCTTATTCAATGACTAAGTGGATAATGTGTGGGCAAAGTCAATCTTCTCTACCTCATTTACTTTTTATCTTTCAGTGAATTTCTTCTTTCCCTATTGGATTCCTTTCTGCTTGTATTTGTTCATCTTCCAAAGAATGTGCTGAAGGATTTCCCACATTCTGATTTTGCTTTTGCTGTGGTGTCATCAATTGCCTTAAAAAACACTTCTAACCCTGTAAGTCACTAGGGGCTTAGCAGAGTATAATGAACTTCAGTTTGGCTTTAGAACAAAACAAATGCCACACAGGCACACACTTCAATAACATATCTTCCATAAAACGAGTGGTCCCCTAAACAGGGAGAATACAAATGCCATACGCATTATTACAGTAGTAGATATTCATCTCCATTCACAAACTTCAGTGTGCCAGAATTATTCCCTTGGCATTTCCTTATTTCCTTTAAGTCAACTTTATTTTATTTAAGCTCCCGTTTTGCCTGGCTGGTGGAAAGAGCCTGAATCTGCTTGCAAGATAAGACCAGAAAGCAAGAGAATTCTTGGAACCCAGAGCCAGGAGAAAAATCTCTAATCTCTAGTTTGTCCCAGTTCCTCCTGAGTTTTTTGTTGCCCAAAAATAAGTCCAGAGGCTCTGGGCTTCCCTGCCATGCCTGTGGATAAGGTGTCTTTGCCTGCACTCAGTACTTCAGTGGTCTAACCTCCCGAAGACACTACCTGGCCATCCCATCTGAGGTCTTGCCCTACACAGAGGGGTTCAGGGAGCCAAGGTTGGGTGTCATTGGTAGTAAAGAGTATAATCAATGACTACTAGTAAGGTTGGTGCTGCTGCCTTGATCTGTGCAAAGATGCCATCAGTTTTATGCAGGTTGTTTTTGCAACATCGTTGTGAATGTCAACCCAGTGACTATCTATAGGAAGACCTCAGCTAAATTAATCTTGTTGAGGGATACTTTAGGAAGACAAATTCAATAGCACCAAATTTAAGCTCACACCATGATGAGAAGGAGTCTGGGTAAAAGCTATATAATGTTAAAGCAGGGAAATCCAATGCTGATTAGAATGAGGTAGGTACAAGCCCAGAATACAACAATAAGCCTAAAGAACATTGAACCCACCACCCTGATAGATCCCTCCAGTTCAATACTCCCACTTGCTTTTCTACTTGCTTTTGTGCTCTATTTCTTTAACCTGTCATAATTATATTTACATAGTTATGTTACATTATTGTCATCTAATCTAATTATAGTTGTCAGCTCTAAATGTGGAAATAACAGGAACAGATTTCAGAAATTCAGACCTTACTTCAGCCACAAAATACATGTGGCCAATTCATAAAGAGTTAAACTTGCATTTCTCAATGATGTTGGAGTTTAATCTTTACCACATGTTGTGTAACAGTCCCACTAAGAAATGAGACTTCACACCCTAGAGCACTTGGTAATAGTAATAACAGCAGCACCTTATCTACGTAGAAAGCAACTATACACCCGCCAGTTTGATCATCATCACAGCTCGGTGTAATAGAGATAAAATGGATTATTATTAGTCACATTTTGCAGAAGGGAACAATTTCCCATTTTGAGAAATTACGTGATTTGCTGAAAGTCACATATTTAAGTGGCAGAAATGAAATCATAACCCAGGCCATTGTCTAAAAGCCTTTAATCCTCCTTCTTCTCTGTTTATGCATCTTGACTCTATTAAATTATATTGTTTTATTTTCCCATTTGCTCAAGGACAACATCTTAGATGAACATCTGGATATAATATCCTTTCCATAAACTTCAGAATTCGTTCATTTAAATGAAGGATTTTTGTCAATAGTTAACCCCTTGGACTGCCTCTTAGGAAAGAAAAGGCAGGACAGTAAAGGTTTCGAAGGGATGATTTTTAGTGGCCAGGGAATAGGAGTTACTTTATGTCATTCTGCAAAATGAATCATTTGCAGTCAAGATAAACCACTGGAGCAAACTTAACCTGTCCAGAAAGGATGATTCTGTTACTTAGGTTGTATATTTATGTCATAATCCTGACTAGGCTTCAACAGAATGGAGAAGACTCAGGAAATCAAGGATCCCAATATATTTGCAAGGCTAGGCAAAGACCTAGAGTGTGAGTATAGGATGGAGGCCAAAGAAATATCAGTCCTCTGATGGAGGAGGAGGGCAGAAGGGCAATGCATGAACTCAAAGGGAGGTCTAAAAACAGGCTGTGTTCATAGGGATGGGACAACGGCCTAACAAGATGAAGTGGCACAACAGAAAAATAGCTCAAGCCAAGATCTTTGTCTTGAGCTCCTTATACCCTATTAGGCAAGACATGACATAGCTAGTAGGTGTTGTAGCCAGGATGGCAGCCTCAGCAATCTGGCTCCAGAATCCCCAGGCACTTAACAGTTCAAGGCATAATTGGTAAGGATCTTAGTTAAGGAGCCAACTTAGTAGTTGATGCGAGTAGAGGAAGGGAGGGAGACAGGCAGGGAGGGAATAAGGAAAGCTTGTGGGAATGACAAAGCCTTCACAGAAAGGTGCATTTAAACTAGGCTTGGAGATTGAAAACATTTTTGATATATGGAGACTAGAATGTGAATGATGGGGCAAAACCCCACCCAAAATGGTTAAGGCAAAATGGAAATATTTTGGCTTATGTGCCTGAACAATCTAGTGGGAGTAGCTCTGGCTTTGAGCTGAGCTTGATCAGGGCTGTCCAACTGCATCTTCAGGACCTGGTTTCTCACTCTCTCAGATCTGCTTTTGGCCATGTTGGTACCTCATTCAGGCCCATCCTCTCCTCTTAACAGCAAGATGGATGCTGCAGTCCAATGGCTGGGTGGACATCTCCAGGACTGCATTCTTAACCACTGCAACAGACTTCCTGCTTAGACAGTATCCTGAGATGAGTTTTGTGTGGAAATAATAAAGCAATTGCCTGTAAGTTTCTGTACCTCAATATGATAATATTTATATTCAGTAGTCTAAATTCACCTTCATATTTGCCCCAGCCTCCAGCTACTATGGCCTCTATGGGTATATGGGTTGGTAGGAACTGAACCTTTTTGACCAGGCATCAATCTACAAATGGCTCATCAACCGCAAATGTTTCCAACAACCCCTCTCCCAAGAGAAAACACATTTAGAGCCGTTAAATGGGAAACCAAGGATCTGTCAATGAACTCTGAGAGTGCTCTATTTACAAGGAAAATGAACTAATCTGAACCTGTAATAAATAACAAGCAAAACAACAGAGCCAGTTTCTTGAGAATTTAGATTTGATGAATTACAAAAAAAACTGTGCAAGGAAGAATTCTGTAACTAGTTTCAGAATTCTTCGAATTATTTTATATATACTGCTCATTTAGTAAAGCCAAATTATTCAACCTTGAGGTTTTTCGAGGCCCTAATTGTTTTTCTCCAGTTATGTAGTAGATTTTGTTTCATCTACAGACAGGAGCACCAATCTACCAACATTTACTTATTGTACAAATAGGGAGCCACATAAATGTGCAAGGACACTGCCAAGTGCTGAAAACAGTCCCTGCCCTCTGGTGAGAATAAACAAAGGAGGAAAGAATAACTGTTCACTATGGAACCACAGTAAAGAGTAGCTTCAGACGCTTAATTCCGAATTTCAGAACACGCCTTTCTTCTTATTGTAATAAGAGCCCATCATCTGGCACAGTATGAGGAGTTCCTTTAGATGATGACCAAACAGAATCTGGGACCCAATTCCTGAACCAACTGGTATTCTCCATAATCTAAAAATTAGAATCAGAATTCATCTGTAATCCTGGCTGTTTCAGGATTTCTGCCACCATCTTGTCCATGAGGAGTTTCAGGGACAGTAATGGCTGAGAATGCTGGCTCTGGGCTCTGGAGGCCTAGATTTGATTCCCAGCTCCACCACTTACCAGTTGTATAAACATAACAAGTATCTTACCTCTCTGAGCCTCAGTTTATCCAAATATAAAATGGAGGTTGTGATAGTGCCCAATTTATAGGGTATTATGTGAGGGTTATTAATTAATATGGAAGGAATCAGAATATGCCATCTCAGAATCTGCCACTTTGGCATAAAGATTATTTTGAGCTGAAGGCAATTAAGAAACAGTAGATGAAGGAAAAAGTTCTCTATATTCCCCCATTTGCCTTAAAGTGGGGAATAAATTTTCCTTCATGAAGTCATCCTCCTCTCCCTCTCTCATACCAGGAAGGGCAGAACAACTTTTAATCACCAGACAACTCTAGACTTCTACCTGTTCTGAGACGTGGGAGAGGAATCCGCATAACCAACCTTATAAGACAACCTGTCTTTCATTAGCTTCCCCCACACATTTACCTTCCCCTACACATTTACCTTCCCCCACACATTTACCTTCCCCATATTTACTACCTAGAGAAGCACAAACCCCTTTCCTTTCTTTCTTGTCACGTCTCCACAATTTATCCCTCTTTTACAAAATGATATTAATATTTAAGCTTCCAGGTTTGACTGCCTCTTTGGAGTTTTTGCCTCATTTCTGTGAGCCCCCTAAATGCATATGAAATAAACCTTTTTCTGCTGTTAATTTGTGTCTTGTCAGTTTATTTTCAAGTGTCCCAGCCACTGAACCTAAAAGTAGAGGAAAAAGCTTTTTTATCCTCCCTGACAAGTATCACATATTCAAAAATCTTTACTTATATCTTTGCATAGTACCTGGTCAATAAATGTTGGTGGTTCCTTCATGCTCAAGAAATACAAAATGTTGGAAGGTACAAACATTATCCTAGATTCACTTCTTGTGGATGTTATTTTTCCCAAAGGTGACTTCTAAATTATCTCTGTCTATAAAACAAATTATTATAATCCTTTTCATAGTATTATTCATATTTAACATTTATTGGGAGCTTAGTGTTTGCCAAGCCACTAATGTAAAGTAGGCACTATTACTATTCCTATTTTACACATGAAGAAATCAAGATTCAGAAATGTAAAATAACTTCCCCAAGGTTACAGAGCTTGAGTGGTTAACTGTTATGTTATACTGCCTCCCTAGTTATCATTAGCTGAAGACGGATATAGAAGAAAAGATAAGAAAGGAGGTAAAGGAAAAGAATTCGTAGAAATGGTCTCTTGTTGAATGATACCTTACATATAACAGATATGTAAATACTGGTTGAATAAATGATTGACATAAAATAAAATGGAATGAACAGCCAAGGAGGCCAGTCTTTTCTTCCCCTGGCCACACTTCTTCAGCCATTTCAATATTATCAGAAAGGGCCAACCTTTTATCTCACCCAGAACTCTGCAAATATTGATTTCCCATCCATTTAACTTTAAGGCATCTCCTATCAAGGATTGCATGAAATTGCTCTGTGTCGTTATGTTTTATGTTTTTCTCTTCCTCCCCTCCAACCCCCCTTTATAATATATATGATAGACCAGCTGGCTGTATAGATGAAATTCCTTTTCTGCTCCACAGTTAATGCAGCTCTGTGGCTTTGTTCTGTAAGCTAGGCCGGATGGAGTGTGTGTGCAGAGAAATCTCTTGAAACAAAATGTGGTCGCTTTTGCAACCGTTTTGCCCCAAAGCACATTTATAAGCAAGTAAATTCCAGTTTGTTCCTTTCAAATTCTTGTTTCCGTGAGCCAAGCACAAAACTCTGGAAGACTCGATTATTTTAAAGTTATTTGAATATCATTTGCTGACACTGTGCAAGAATTTTCCTGGGCTAAATAGTTCAGGTTCATTCGGATTAAGGACTTTCATTAGCAGTTAAGTAAAGCCTTTTCTGTCTTTGACCCTGTAATTAAGAGGCTGTGACTCCGGACTGGCATCTGAGAAACCTATACAAATGTTAATAGAGAGCCCCAAAATTACTCTCAGTTCTCTGGAGAGTGATTTCAAACAAGATACTTCTTTGTTTATGGTCCCTAGGCTTGAGTCAGATCCCCCTTAGACCACAATTTGACAAAATACATTCTGTTAGAAACGGTTGCAGTTTTTGAAAGTGGAGACAGAGAGGTCATCCTAAGAGGTAACATGGTCACTCGGGCATGTCTTTGCAGTGGGGAAAGGGGGATCAAGTGGACAGTATCACTGTTAGAGCTGAGCAACCAGGTCCCTTGCCTTGAGCCCCAACCTGGCTTTGCTCTGGCTAAACTCCTCTCCACAGGGTGAAAAGTCCGTAAAGCCAAAAAGATTTGTCCACTTTAAGGTCAACCCCTCACCCTCAGACCATCCTCGCCAAATGGCCTGTAGTGAGTGCCAGATCCTGCTTGGTCCTTCTAGGGTCTTTCCTCCCAAAGGCAGCCATTGCCACATATGGACCCCTAGAGCCAAGAGGTACTCAATGGGTGGCTTTTGGGCAGGCAGGAACTAGGACAGAGCTTGGACTTGGTGGCTGGAGGTCTTCATGCATGCTCACAAACCTCCGATGTGAAGGTTAGAACCATCGGTGGAAAGAGAAAAAGGATAAAGCACAGGCCTGAGCCTTTCATTTGTATTTTTATCCAGGGCCCTGCAAATGCAGAAACAGACCTGCAGGGAGAAAGGGGAGTAAGTTAGTTGGATTACCTCAAATTTGAAAGCTAATTTGATTTTGTTAGTACACCGGAACATGCCAGTTCTCTGATGGCTGGGCTCATGCAGGTCCACATCTCTAGAATGTGATACCCAAACCAAAATCTAGTTCATTCACAGTGAGAACCAAAGCTACCAAGCTGATTCGGATGTTCATGTCAGTTGATCAAATACCTGCTCCCTATAGAAACTGTATATGGAAAACCAGATTACAACATGAAGTTTTCTTGACAATACAGATTAGGGGCAAGTAGAGTTAAAAGCAAGATCCATGCATCAGATTGATATGCTGAGATATCAATCTCCAGGTTTATCGATACACCTGCTAAGTGGACCTCATGCTTATAATGCCAGCTTATTAACATCTTCTTGTAAGAACAGTGCTAAACACTCACAAATGTTTGATTTTTGGATCTTCTGTATACCATTTCTATTTGGTTTATGGATCACAAATTCTATCTTGAGATATATTAATTCCAATAATTAGTCAAACATTTCTTTTTCCATTTATTCAAGATTTGAATACACTTCTAGGATTTGTTTTTTCTACTTGTAAATCATGCCTTTAAAGTAAAAGTTTTAAGAAGAAAATCCTAATCCATGCTCTAATGGACTAAATATCAGTAACGAGACTGGAAGAAAGTCTAGGAGTCTCCCTTCATTGACCATGAGAAGCCTGATAATTTTGTAAATATTTTGAGTATTATTCCCATCCCTAGGGGCATAAAACAGGAAAACTGAAACAGGGACTTCGGTTTTTATTAAAATTACTTACCAGCATTTTTCTATTCATATTCTTGGCTTATGAACTAGTGAACTTGCTTTGATGATTATAAATGATGTTTTTTTCCATATCCAGAGTTTGAAAGTAAAAACGCAACAGGGATGGTCTTCTCCAAGCTTCCCATCACCCCATCCCTGCCAATACTTTCATCTTTTATTACCTCTTCTATTTCTCTAGCCACAAAGAATCAGAAAAAGGAGGATTCTGGAGTGGTTCTCATTCTCGTAGACAGGAATTAAAAATAAAGTCTGGCAAATAACATCTATCAAGCAATGTCTTCTCATACATCCCCATCTCAAAGTTTAATATGCTCTGATGTGTGTACTCAAGGTCTTAATAGAATCAGAGATGGTTAAATAAAAATCCAGAGAAGACCAATATGTGTGTGTGTTTGCACTTGCTTTGATTCCTTTTGTGGTTGGTTCTTCCGTGTGTGTGTGTGTGTGTGTGTGTGTGTGTGTGTGTGCTTTGATTCCCTTTGAGCTTGAGTCTTCTGAGGATCTGCAATGCAGGCTAGAGTGAAACTGCTGGCAGGCATTTGATTTTTCTCAACTAGTGACAAGAAAAAGACAAGAGGAGGACACAGCCAAAGGGGGCCTGATGGCTAAATGTGTGGTGAGTGGCTCCAAGTTTTGTGAGTCAAATACTATATTTCTGAATGAAATCAATTTCTAGGTTGCACAAATGTTCATGGCCTATTTACAAAGAAAATAGAAACCTCAACTGTGATTCTAAAGCTATCACTTAACTTGGTGCCCACATCCACCCTATGGTAAGATTCTATAGCACACAACATCTAAAGATCTCAGAAAACTCTTTCTAGACAATCCCATGCTCAAGCTTGGCTCTTGCCTTTAATTATGTTGCTCTTCCTTCTTGCCATCTCTAAACCCTACGTATGAATCTTGGGCTCTGGTGGAGCCTCACATTCTGCTGCTCAATGGGGTTGGGTAGAAGCCAGAGGGAATCAATCTAGAAGAACGTGCTGCCAGAAGAGGTACAGGTAGTGGAGACATCCACTAACCACAGGGCCTGGCAAATTCTGGTCATCAGCCTAGTGTAGTAATTGTGCCTGATGAAAAATGTTTCAACAGCAGCAGGAAACAGAGCCCAGAAAATAATAACAACAATAACAAGTATTTACAAAAAAATATAATCATACTGCTAAGCTCAGCTATGAATAATATTTATAAAGTCAGAATAATGAAAACACAAAATATGAATTGTTAGAAAATTTTCATATAATTATATTGGAGGATGGGGTAGGAGGTAGAAGAGCTAAAATCTTTATTTACTTCAATATCTAAAATTGATAAACAATAGCAGCATATGCATATTTAGAACTATGGAGCTGGTGCAAGAATAAAGAGCTGAAATAGTAGAAAATAGCTATCAATGGAGAGTGGAAGGGTATGCATGAGAATACTATAGTTTCATCAATAAGATTACTAGTCCTATTCAACTTCTGAAACCATGTGCATGCGTTACTCCGATAAAACAACTTTTTTAAGTTGAACATTGTCCAACTCCACAAATCAATACATTGGGAAGTTAATATTACAAATGTATTTCTTGTCTAAAAGCAAAGAACCATAATGTCTTCTCTCTTGCATAGCTTGCAATTTGGAGTCCTTTATCCCATGCAATCCCAAAACACTGTATCTGGGGCAGCAAATTACTATGGGCTACAGTAAATCTAAAAGTTTATTCTTAACATTTTTGGGTTTTCTGCACACACAGGCTTCACACACAGGAGGTATTATAAGAGTATTCTAGATAGTATTGTTGAAGGAGGAAGAGGTGTAATAATATCAAAATAATTTGCAGTAAGATTCAAACATTTGTAATAAAAAGCTTAGTTATTAAAGAAGATACTCCTTAACTTGCCAGCAGTCACCGTAAATTTATGTTCTAAATGAAGATGAAAATACAAAGTAGTAACATGTTAAGCAACTCTTGGTTTTTAAAGATGGGTAATAGCCCCTTAAGGGCTTGCACAATTCCTCTCTCAAATTCATTTGCACTTTTTATTATTTGCACCTACTTCACTTCATATAAGTAATAAAATACTTTTATTTCTCTCTGTGTTTATCCTTTAATTACACATCAGATGCCTTACCTGAAACTACAAGTACAAGAACAGGCTGCTCCAAACAAAAGCACAAAAGCTTAGAGCCGGAGAGTTCTCTGAAGACAAAGGTTTTCAAGTCTTGTTGAAATAGAGCCGCAAAATGAGCAGGAGGGGCAGCTGCTAACCAGTGCCCCAGCCATGGCCCAGGGTAACCAAATTCCTTACTGTTCTGGGGGACAGAAATGCCAATAACGCGAAGTTCAGCCAGGTAAACTATGCTGATTCTCAAACCAACAATCTCTGGGTGGGGTTGGAAACTCAGACCTGGGAAGAGCATCAGCAAGCCCTGGGGTTTAAGAGCACTCCTGACCTCCAGACCTACCTCTTTAGCCAGTCTAGGGCACTTAGGGCTCAGCTTAAGGTTCTTTATCTTTCGTTCCACACTCCCAGGATCCTCCTGGGACAAATGGGAAAAGAAGATAAAGTTTGATGGCTACTAGAGTCAATGGAGTTAAAGGCAATGCTGCCCTTGGAACTGTTGGAAATACCAAAGAACAATTGCAGATCAAGAGCAGCAGTGAGTGTGGAGACATACACTCACACTTACCATAATAGAATAGAAACTAGAGGGTTTGTGTTCACTTATCAGCTCCACTACTTCCCAACTTATAACATTTGCCTACTCACCAACTAGTAAATATCTGCTACATAGTGAAAGCTCCAAAACTGTTGGTTAATGAATGTTGAAATCACTTAAGCTTTTTGGGCTTCTCTGGCTCCATATTAAAAATAAGGAGATTGGCCAGGTGCAGTGGCTCATGCCTGCAATCCCAGCACTTTGGAAGGCCGAGGTGGGTGGATCACTGGAGCTCAGGAGTTTGAGACCAGTCTGGGCAACTCAGCGAAGCCCCGTCTCTACCAAAATTACAAAAATGAGCCAGCACACACCTGTGGTCCCAGCTACTAAGGAGGCTGAGATGGGAGAATCGCTGGAGCCTGGGAAGTCAAGGCTGCAGTGAGCCAAGGTCCCACCACTGCACTCTAGCCTGGGTGACAGAGTGAGATCCTCTCTCAAAAAATAAAAATAAGGAGATTGGACTATCCAATTGGTAATAAGGATAGGCACTGATACTTATTGAACACTTAATATATGTGGGGGACTGTTGTGAATTAATGAAATGTATTGTCACAAAAAACATGTTATCTCCTTTTAACATACAAGGAAATCAAAGCACAGAGAGGTTGGGTAACTAGCCCCACATCACACATTTGGTCAGGCAGAACCAGGATTCAAAACTCCAGAATCCATGTGTTTTCCCAGTATGTTTTTGTCAACTTCCAGCTTATGCTATTATAATGATTCCCACTTTGTTACCTGCTCATTATCAATAAGATGTTTAATCTCTTACTCTGACTCTATATATACTGCCTGTATTACTTCCCAGAGATTAGTCCTCTGTGTATCCATCAATACTTGAGCCTTCAAACATCGAAGAAAAGCTTGTATTTATAATTCAAATAAGAGAAACTAGACATTTTATATCTACTTGTGGATAGTATAAAGTGGAGAGGGATAGCAAGAATGTTGGATGACAATCACCACCTAAACATACTGACAAGCAACATAAAAGAACCCATCTAACAAGATATGGGGAATGGGAAAAAATGCAGTGGTGTGCTGATGAAGAAGCTCTCTGAAAACAAAAACCCTGATTTGGAGCATCTTCCTGAGAAGCGTTATGGGCCAAGATGTACGCAGAGGAGGCACAGTTGTGTGGGAGAAAAATCACAGGACGCGGATTCAGATGTCTGAGAGTAAGTCGTACCTGCTGTGCAACCCGAAGCAAGTCTGTTTACCTCATGGAACCTGCCTCTACTGCTGGAAGTGGGGATGTGTCAGGTACCTCACAGGCTTGTCATGAGGACTGAGTGAGATGACATAGGAAAACACTTGCCAAACTTGAAAGTCTTGCTCCTCAGGGTGTGTCTCATGCCAGCAGCATCAACAGCATCCAGGACTTTGTTGGAAAGGCACGTTCTCAGGCCCCACCCCAGACCCACTGAAATAGAGTCTGCATTTCCACAAGATCACCAGGTGATTGTGTGCACATTAACGTTTGAGAAGCCCTATTCTAAAGAACCAAACAAATGTAGTGTGTTGAAATTTTGGACTTTTTTCATATTCTGCCAAGGAAATACATCATGGCCAAATTTAAAGAAATGGGCCCCCAGCACTTTGGGAGGCCGAGGCGGGTGGATCACGAGGTCAGGAGATCGAGACCATCCTGGCTAACACGGTGAAACCCCGTCTCTACTAAAAATACAAAAAATTAGCTGGGCAAGGTGGTGGGCACCTGTAGTCCCAGCTACGTGGGAGGCTGAGGTAAGAGAATGGTGTGAACCCGGGAGGTGGAGCTTGCAGTGAGCCGAGATCGCACCACTGCACTCCAGCCTGGGCAACAGAGTGGGACTCCGTCTCAAAAAAAAAAAAGAAAAGAAAAGAAAAGAAAGAAATGGGCCCCTCTCAGAGTTTTCCATAATCCTCCTTCCCTGGGTCCTGATGAGCTCCCTAGGTTTTGGGGAGCAGATGCCCATCATGTGGCCAAGTGGGTTATTCCTGGAGAGCAGTTCCCTTTGCTCAGGAATGGACCACTTGAGAAAGTCATTGCCTAATAAAATCCCTTATTGTTTTCAAGGGAAGACAACCAATAAAATGCAAGCCTACTGATATGGTATGGCTGTGTCTCATCATGAATTGCAGTTTCCATAATCCCCACGGGTGGTGAGAGGGACTGGTGGGGGCTAATTGAATCATGGGGGTGGTTACCCTCATGCTGTTCTCGGGATAGTGCGTGAGTTCTTATGAGATCTGATAGTTTTTATAAAGGGCTTTTCCCCCTTTGCTCCGCACTTCTCTCTCTTGCCACCTTGTGAAAAAGGACATCTTGGCTTCCCCTTCTGCCATGATTGTAAGTTTCCTGAGGCCTCCCCAGCCATGCGCAACTGTGAGTCAATTGAACCTCTTTCCTTTATAAATTACCCAGTCTCGGGTATGTCCTTATAGCAGCATGAGAATGAACGATTAACACATCTACATATACAAAACTGTCTCAACCCCGGGAAAGATTGTTAAATTTGAGACTGAATGTAATTAACAGCTATATTAGTCCATTCTTGCATTGCTGTAAAGAAGTACTTAACACTGGGAAATTTATAAAGAAAAGAGGTTTAATGGGCTCACAATTTTGCAGGCTGTACAAGAAGCATAGTGGCCTCTGCTTCTGGGAAGGCCTCAGGAAGCATCCAATCATGGCAGCAGGCAAATGGGGACAGGCATCTTACATGGCCAGAGCAGGAGGAAGGGAGGGGGTGGTGCCACACACTTTTAAATAACCAGATCTCATGAGAACTCTGTCACTAGTACGGTACCAAGGGGATGGTGCTGAACCATTCATGAAGCACCACTCCTATGATTCAATCACCTCCCACCAGGCCCCACCTCCAACACTGGGAATTATAATTCGACATGAGATTTGGGCAGGGACACCCAAACCACATCAGCAGCCAAAGTGGAGTTGAGGTGAATTTTAATCTTTCCGGCTAAGAGTGCCTGGGATCAACAGTTAAAAGTAGCAACTCAGAGTAAGAGGATGCCTTATTATAAATTTATATTTGATTACATCCCTGTTTCCTATGACAGACACATCACAGGTGCTTCACAAATACCCTTTACACAGACTTGAACAGTCTCAGCTTCCTAACTGCCAAAACGTCCTTTTAATACAATTATGAACCTGTTAAGACACTAGGGATTGGATAGATAGAATGTAAGAACTCCTTGACTTTTGGCTAGCTCAACTTCATTTTACATGCATGGACACAATACACACACACACACGCAGACACACACAGACACACACACACACACACAATTATTGTTCCTTCTTTTCACCAGTTATTTTCTCCACTTTCCATTCCCCTGATCAAAAATTACCCATCTAACATCTAAACGTATAGATTTTAATAACCTGTCAGTGTCATAATAGAAACAAAATGATTCCACTTGGAAATCACTATTTACAAAAAAAAATCTTTGCATTTCAAAAGTACTTTAAGTAGATGTCCTAAATTTGATTTAAGAAACAATCTGTTCCAGAAAGTCTGTGACTAAGATGTGAATGAAAAACTAAAACCCATTAATGAATTATTAGCACACAGATTGGTCTAAAACTTCAAAGGTCAGAGATCTGTTCTGAGCAGAAATGTGTCAGGGGAGAGAAAAATCTTTCAGCTGGAGAGTGTCTCACCTGCGGAGTATTCCAGTTGGGTTTGTGTGCTCCTCAAGAATAGTGGTATTTTAAGTTTTTTATCTGGTTGGTTGGTTTGGCTCTTGTCACAAAAGAAAAAAAAGTGAGTCTATAAAAGGACAGTAGCACTCTCTCCTTGAAAGTCTAGCTGCTGAGCACAAAGTCTCTGGGTGTAAGACATAGCATTACCTGGGACGACCCTGATCACCAGGATTCCAAGCCCAGAAACACAGGAGCTAAAGTAGAGCATATGTGTCCTGGGATCCATTGCTTTTCCAATACGAATTAGTTTTACCCTACCTCAGAGGTGGGATTATATAAAACACTATTTGATAACTTTGGAAAACCTGTCAGAAAGTGTCCCATATATTCACATGTATTTGTTTATATTTTGTTCTAAAATCTATATTCAACTATGATTCAAGCATGTCTGAAAATGAGGTGAGTTCCCAGGATCTTTGTACATGAAAAACCAAAACGCTTATCCCAGGAGAAGCAAGTAGAGGCCAGTAGCTTGGCTCTAGGACAAAAGCAGCTTCTGGGTGGGAGATATTTTTAACACAGTAGGGCCCAACTTCCACGTCAAGCGGCATTAAGTCAATTTAGGCTGAATCCTAGGAAGAGGAGGCTGCCAACAAAGAACTGGCTTAGCACAGCCCACCTTGAGGTGGAGGCCTGACACAGACCCAGCCCTCCAGTGGCAGTGAGAGCCCTCAACACTGGTTTGGCTAAAGCTGCCAAGGCACAGACACTGATGGCAGTAACAGCAGCACCTGTTTTGTGACATCTTCGGTAAGTGTTGATGTGTGAGCCACTAAGTTTGGTAATGGTAGTGACCAAAGATAATTCCCCAAGGAGCCACAAAAGAGAAAAGGAGAATGGCAACTGTCACATCACAACTAAGAATGGACCCTCAGGGACATCAGAACTATTTAAGGTGGGATTTGAGAGTGGTGGGATGGGGGAAAGGGATGAGTCCTCCAGAGTAGGTCACATTAGAGACGAGTTCCACAATTCGTATGAATTAAAATTATAAAAATTATGTAACTTTGTAATGGTATTAACAAACATTTGCTTTCCTCTGTCTACTCTAAGTCTAGTGAAAGATGGGAAGTAAGGAACAGAGTAGGAAAGTCTGAGTTTGTGGCAGCATGAACTATAAATCTGAGATTCAGCTATCCATATTTACAGAAGACCCAGACAGAATACTTCATGATGAGATCCATCATTCAATTGGCAGAATTTACTGCTCAAACCTTTCAATTAGGAATTGAATCTCCAGCTGTCTTAACTACCGCTGAAACCCCTGCAGCAGCAGTGAGCCACACACATGCCCCAAGCACAGGCCCTCCATTAACCAACTACTTTTTCCTTTGAAATTTTCCCAACAGGATTTTCACTCTTGCTCACTTCTTCATTAATGGATAACAGGGCTTCATCCAAGACCTATGGTTCAGATTTTCTTCTTCATCCTTTTCTTTCTGGATCACTGCTATGTTTGATTTAAAACCATAAGTTAGTGCTGTTAAAACAAATCCTTAAAAATCAAGACTGGATATGTTTGTGATGCTCAAGAAAGTGAGACCATGTAATTTCGCATTGACAGAATAGTGCTGAGGAAACCACTTGCGATCTGAAGTGAAAAGTCTTGAGTTTAAAATCCTACAGTTGTCACCTCCTAGTTGTATAGCCTCAAACAAGCCGCTTATCCTAAATCTTATGTAAAATAGGAATAATAATAATTTCTGCCTCTCAGAAATATGAGGACCAAATGAGATACACTGTCTTTACTGAAAATGCTTATAATTTTCTTCCCTACTTACAAAATCTATCCACCACCACCAACCCTAGCCTGAAAGAGGTAGCCTTACCGACTACATTTCCCTGGCCACAGCTGCTTAAACCCCACATGGATAGCTGAGCAAGGTTAAACCAGTCAGATTCTCTTTCATAGGAATTTAAAACTTGAGATACTGAGTCATTTAGCCCTGGAGAACCAAGCTGGAAGTTAATGGAGACTTGGGGTCCAAGACTACATTTTAGGGTGGCCATGATGGTTGCAAGCAAATGAGCAAGCAGAACAGGTGGTCTGAAGAAAGAAGAATGAGGCAGGCTTGTAGAGAGAAGCAGGCAGATGTCATGTGGACTTCTAAGGAGAGAGATGGTGAGATTAGCCTCTAGTGACTCTCTTAGTTCTCATGAAGCTCAGCTACACGTCCTACATTTGGTGTGCAATTCTTCTACATTCTTATATTATAAACCCACTGTTTGTTAGTTACTTTGAGTTTTTGTTCCTTGCCAAAAATAAAAATAAAATAGGAGAGAGAAATAATTGTAGAACTGTAAAATGAAAGCACTATACAAATACAAGATGTCTTTGATATCCACTTAGGACTTAGCGGCCATTAGGGAATGGAGGAGAGGTAAATGGAGGGAAGCCATTAGGGAATGGAGGAGAGCCACCTTCCAAACCCTGAATGATAACCAACAACCTCATAAATAAGGTATCAGCATTTGGAATCAGCCAGTTGGGCATCCTGCTTGCAAAGTGTTGAAAGAGTCTTCATAAGAGCCAGTATTCATCAGAACTCTTTTGGCAATGTGGCAAAATCCAAATTCAGCCTAACTAAAGAGAAATGGAAATGTGCAGTCCACCTAACTGCTAAGTCCATGGGGGACTTTCATGGGAATTTAAATGTAAATTTCTTATCTGGTTAAAGACCTGCCCTTCTCATATCATATCTTCTATTTTCATTTGTGTTGGCTTCATTCTCTGGCAGGCTGCCCACCATGATGGCAAGGTGGTTCTCAGAAGCTCCAGGCTTATTCTTGCCAGCTTAATAACGTCCACAGAGAGTACCTCTTTGCTTATGGTTTCAGTCAGACACCCAAGGATGAGTGTGACTGGCCTAACCTGGGTCATATGCTTACCCCTAAAGCAATCACTGTAGCCAAGGGAATGAAATGTTGTCTTTGCCAAAGCCTGAGTCATGTGTTCTTCTCTGGAGCGATGGGATGGTATCAGCCTCACCTGATTCATAGAGACTGAGCACTACGGCATGAGAGTTCACTAAAGGAAAAATCAGGGTGCTGCTACCAAAAGAAGGGGAAAGGCATGCAGGGAGAACTTAGATTCTCCCAGCTCTTCCCACCATGAACACCTGAGACTTAAAAATAGAAGTAAACTTTCTTTAGGAAGGAAAACTTTTTATTTATAAATGGGTGGAGTGACCAAAAGACTTGTGGCCCTTGCTCACTACACAAATTTTATCTCTATGGTAGCACAGAGAGACAGCAGTACCTGGGGATGAATCAGTCATTGTCCTCAGGCTCAGCCTCCCCACCCACAGTCTCATCGCCAGCTCACTGAGTCATCCCATGCTCCATCCAACATGTTTTGCTTTTCCCACAGTTTCCTTGAATCTCCTGGGACAGATGGCTGGCTTTTGGAGCTGAGGAAAGGAAGTGGTGTCTTTCAGAAATAAGAGTGCCTCTCCTGTTAGTAAAACTAACAGAAGAGCTGGCTTAAGATGGGAGAGGGTAGGAATTACTTTGCAGTTCCTGGTGCACTTAAAATCATACTCTTTCTTATAAAAAACTGATTCATATGCAACATCTACCTTTCTCTATTTCTGTTTAACAAAAACCCCAAAACCCTTCTCATCCTTTTAGACCTAGATAGCTCAGATGCCTCTTCCTGCTTGTCTTCCCTTTCCTGCTTCCTCTTTCTCACTTACCTGAAAGGCAGAATTTATGACCCCTTTCCTGTTCTCTCCCAGCACAATGTCAATGCCACAACTCCAGTTTGGTATTGTGTGATGGCTGACTGTGTGGCTGCCTGGCTAGTCCATGATGCCTCAAAAAGGTCAGCAATGATGCCACGCTTCTGTTGTATCCTAGCACCTTGTATAAAATCTGCACACCGAAAGTCCTCCATAAATGTTTGTTAAGTGAGCTAATGAGTGAGTGAGTGAGTGAGTGAGTGAAAATGAATAAACCATATTACAGAGCTCAGAGGCAGAAGGAATATGTGCAGGTTCATCTAGGCTGAAGTTTTTTTTGTGTGTCTGTGTGGTGGCGGGTGGGGGAGGTTGTTTGGTTTTTGTTTTTTACCTCCAAGAAGTGACTAAGAGCCTTTTTCTTTTTACATAACTTTGAGTAGCTTCTCTACTGTAGATAATTCCTGATACTTCTCCTGAAAACCAAGCGTGTCCACACTTAAAAGGAAAGATTTCTCGGTAACTGAATACGATGACAGGCCTACGATCTTACAGCTCACATCAGGGCAAATACTACAGCAGCCTAATTGCTGACATATTGCATTCAATGTTTAGATATGATATGAAACATTCATTAAATGCTCTACAATTAACCTGAAAGTAATTTAGATACTTATGCAGTTGTGCTGAACAGAATTAAATGCAGCAATATAAATATAAATAATGAATAATAAGCTGTAGTTGACTATCATGGTTCTGGAATCCTCTAACAGACAAATGATAAGCCATTCGATTTTTCTAGTTTCTATGGGAAGTCATTTAGAAGTGTTTTAAATGAGCTTGGGCAAGAGAACAATAACCTATTATTCCAAATAATAATAATATATAATAATAATCCTGTTGTTTTAAATAGTAGCAATAAAAAAAGTCACAGTAACAGGGAGAGGAATTCAAATCTGTTTTAGTGTATCATCTTGCCATAGTCCCTGGTAAATAAGAGGAAAATATTTCTATTACCCACTTTTTGCTTAATATATGTTAATTGATCATCTACTATATGCTAAGTAACATGTTTTCCAGGTGAAGAAGACAGTAGCTAGAAATGTAAATAACTTACCCTAAGCATCATGGACTGAAACTCATTAAAATAAGAATTTCTAACATCTGATTTATTCATTCAAAATAATGTCTTCCCAGGGACCATTCTTTTTTTTTTTTTTTTTTTTTTTTTTTTTTTTTTTTTTTGAGACGGAGTTTCGCTCTGTCGCCCAGGCTGGAGTGCAGTGGCGCGATCTCGACTCACTGCAAGCTCCGCCTCCCGGGTTCACGCCATTCTCCTGCCTCAGCCTCCCAAGTAGCTGGGACTACAGGCACGCGCCACCATGCCCGGCTAATTTTTGTATTTTTAGTAGAGACGGGGTTTCACCGTGTTAGCCAGGATGGTCTCGATCTCCTGACCTCGTGATCAGCCCGTCTCGGCCTCCCAAAGTGCTGGGATTACAGGCGTGAGCCACCGCGCCTGGCCAGGGACCATTCTTAATGACTTCTGTATTCATATAGCATCTTCCACTTTGCAAAGAGGTTTCATGTAAATATCTCATTTAGTGTTCACAAAAACCCTTAGTAGTAGTCAAAACTATTACAAATCCAATTTTGCAACTGGGAAAGTGAAACTCATAGAAGTTAAGTGAATTATCCACAACAACACCAATAACGAGTTATTGAGCCATTATTAGGCCCAAGTCTCCTGGCTCTGAGTTTAGTTCTCTTCCCAGTTATTTTTGAATTTAAACAGTGGGTCAGTCTGGTACAGCTAAAAATGTCTTGAGAACTCAGCTCTGGCAAAGACATGTTATCAGGAATCTTCCTAAAATAATGATCTCATTTTATATTTGTATGGCGCCATAAAGAAGTTGAAGGATTGGGACTGTGATCTTTGGCACTCATTTCTGCTCCAGTTATATATCTTAAGGGCTGAGAAAGACTTTCCCATTCACAGAATCCAGCCCCAAAAATGATGGGGTAGTATACTCAACACTGTTGGTAAATTGGAAGTCTCTGAAGCTGCACTTCTTCTTCAAGCTTTAAACAACCACTCAACAAAAGTTCACTAGATTTTTTTTTTTTTTTTTTGAGACGGAGTCTCGCTCTGTCACCCAGGTTGGAATGCAGTGGCGCAGTCTCTGCTCACTGCAAGCTCTGCCTCCCCGGTTCACCCCATTCTCCTGCCTCAGCCTCCCACGTAGCTGGGACTACAGGCGCCCGCCACCACGCCCGGCTAATTTTTTGTATTTTTAGTAGAGACGGGGTTTCACCGTGTTAGCCAGGATGGTCTCGATCTCCTGACCTCGTGATCCGCCCGCCTCGGTCTCCCAAAGTGCTGGGATTACAGGCGTGAGCCACCGCGCCCGGCCTTCACTAGATGCTTAATCCTTGAATGCTTCCTAAGAGTTCAACTGGCTGTTTAGAATCACTCACAAAAATCAGTGACACATGTCCTTAAAGAAATGAAAGCCAAAACCCTTTTAGTTTTGCCAAGTGAAGATTCTACTGAAGTGTTTCTCAAATGGAGGTTGATATTTAGCATTCTCAAGTGAGTTGTTAAGCTCTGGCACAATAGAAGATGTAACATAGTGGCTGGTGATAGGAGACTCCACCCATCTAGGTCCCTCTGTTCTCTACCTAGTCTGTATTTTGACAAAATGGCCTCTAATTAATCTATCTGCTTAAGAAGTCTGAAGAAATAGCACTTTCCGGAGCCATTGGTGTGTTAGTGACTTTTCAGTGGGTCAATATCTGAGTTGGTGGTCTCTCACAACTCCAAAGAGTCATGAAGAGAGGAAACAAATCTCAAAGGGGAAATTAAGTAATGGAGTTGAAAGGGGTGAAATTTAGCACCAGAAAACCCGGCTCACCTCTTATCCTTGCTTAACCTCTCTGTGCCTGAGTTTCCTTAATTATATAATGGAGAAACATGAAAACTTCCCCTCACTCCCAACATCACAGTGTTGTGAAAATCAAATGAGACATCAGTGAAAATACTTGTAAACTGTTTGTTAACAGATTGCTTTTATTTTATTTTTTGCTTTTCTTTTGAAGATTTTAGTTTCATCATTCAAATAATATATTATTAAGAATCTGTCACTAATATTGAAATCCAAAAATTATATAGGAAAAATATATTAAAATAAAAACAGAGATCAGCCTGGCCAGCATGGCGAAACCCCATCTCTACTAAACATTCAAAAAGTTAGCTGGGCATGGTGGTGCATGCCTGTAGTCCCAGCTACTCAGGAGGCTGAGGCAGGAGAATTGCTTGAACCCAGCAGGTGGAGGCTGCAGTGAGCTGAGATCACGCCACTGAACTCCAGTCTGGGCGACAGAGTGAGACTCCATCTCAAAAAATTAATTAATTAATAAAATAAAATAAAAACAGAAAAAGAGATGGGTTATGAGCACTATAAAGTGTTTTCAAAATTTTTAGATGCTGGAGGGTTGAACACATACATTCCAGTTATTTGTTGTAAGTGAATTTTTATGGTTCAATCGTTTAAAAAAATTTTCACAGAGCTTTCAAAATCTTGTTTGAGAAGCTTTATTAGAACTCATGAAAAAGTATTGTTAATTCTTTATGTTATATGATTATCTTAGAATACTCTCTAATACTTGGGGCTAACTAGATTGATATACAGAATCTGACCTTAAATAATTGTCAAAGCAGGGAACTAAGATACTTTGATGACCTGAAGTTAAATATAGTACCTATTTTTCATGCTTGAACTTATCCCTACGTTATTACAAATGGCACCTGGTAGCAGGATGTGATTTTTCAGCCCAGCTCTTATGAACCTTTTTCTGAGTTTTTAAAAAATAACCTTTTTATTTTAGAGCAGTTTTAGATTTACAGAAAAATTGCAAAGATAATTGTACACAGGGTTCCCATCAACCTCACACCCAGTTTCCCCTATTGTTAACATCTCACATGAGTGTGGTACATTTGTCACAATTAATGAGACAATATTGATAAATTATTATTAACTCAAGTCCATGCTTTACTTAATACTTCTTTCAGATTTCCTTAGTTTTTACCTAATGTCCTTTTCCAGTTCCAAGATCCCATCCAGGACACCACATTACATTTAATCATCATGTCACCTTAAGCTCCTCTCGGCGGTGACAGTTTCTCACTTTCCTTGTTTTTGTTGTTGTTGTTGTTGTTGTTGTTTTTGGTTTTGGTTTTTTTGTTTTTTTGTTTTGAGACTGAGTTTCACTCTTGTTGCCCAGGCTGAAGTGCAATGGCATGACCTCGGCTCATTGCAACCTCCACCTCCCAGGTTCAAGCGTTTCTCCTGCTTCAGCCTCCCGAGTAGCTGGGATTACAGGCACGCACCACCACGCCTGGCTTATTTTGTACTTTTAGTAGAGACAGGGTTTCTCCGTGTGGGTCAGGCTGGTCTGGAACTCCTGACCTCAGGTGATCCGCCCACCTCGGCCTCCTAACGTTCTGGGATTACAAGCGTGAGCCACCGTTCCCAGCCCAACTTTCCTTGTTTTTGATGACCTTGATTGACACTTGAAGAATGCTCATCAGATATTTTGTAGAATACCCCTCAGCTGGGATTTGTCTGGTGTTTTTCTCATGATTAGCATTGGGTTATAAGTTTCTGGGAGGAGACTGTTACAGACACTTTAATTTACTTGATTTTGAGGATATTCCAGTAGAGAGTAGAAAATTCTCTGGCATAAAAGGAAAGTCTTGTGGCCTGAAGCAGTGTGGTCCACAGTGAATATCTCACAGCTGGAAAAGTACTGCAAATACAAAGAGAATCTTCCAGCAAAGTCTGTTCTCCCAATAGACCTAACTAATCCCAGCATGTCACAGGTTGCCATAGATCTATTCACTATCTTAAATCCTTCCTTTCTGAAGGCTTTCAACACAATTTCCTATAGAAGTTTTTCTGTAGGAAAATACTTCCAGTCTTTTAATGGAATTTAATGAGAAAATGGCACTCATTTTATGGAAATCCCTTTATAGGCAATATTTCTGAACTACATTAGATATCTGAAACCCACCATATTATCCCAAGCTTAAGTGCATAAATAAGAACGTGGGATTTATGTGCCAAAAAGATCACTTGTAATTCTGCAGCTGACAAACATTCCTTTACTAGGAGAAGAGTCAAATTAATGGAATCTCTCCCACATCAACCACTTAGGATCCCATTTTTAAATGGTGCTACAACTACAGTATCTAGACCTAAGTCATGCTAGGACAGGCTGACACTACAGCTTAGGAGAACCAAGTTTGAATCTGAATCTAAGAAACTAGAGGGATCCTGAAATGCTCCTCCCGAGAATTTAACTACTTTATTCCATTTTCTACAAAAGTTATGCTATTAGTATTAATAAAAGGGAAAATAATTTTCCAAATATAGGTGGCCAAGTGCAGTGGTTCAGGCCTGTAATCTCAACACTTTGGGAGGCCAAGGAAGGAGGGGATCACTTGAGACCAGGAGTTTGAGATGAGACTGTACAACATAGTGAGGCCCTGTCTCTATTAAAAAAAAAAAAAAAGTTAGCTGGGCATTGGTGACATGTACCTGTCATCTTAGCTACTTGGGCTGAGGTAAAAGGATTTCTTGAGCCTAGGAGTTCAAGGCTGCAGTGAGATATGATCACTCCACTATACTCCAACCAGGAAAACAGAGTGAGACCATGTTTCTAAAAAAAAACAATACAAATAAGTTTAAAAGAAAAAATATAAACATTATATGATATACATATATATGGTTCTGTCTACAATTTAGGTTTTTTTATTTTGTTTTGTTTTTTTAAGATGGAGTTTCACTCTTGTTGCCCAGGCTGGAGTGCAATGGCGTGATCTCGGCTCACTGCCTCCTGGGTTCAAGCAATTCTCCTGCCTCAGCCTCCCAAGTAGCTGGGATTACAGGCACCCACCACCACGCCTGGCTAATTTTTGTATTTTTAGTAGAGACGGGGTTTCACCATCTTGGCCAGGCTGGTCTTGAACTCCTGACCTCAGGTGATCCACCCGCCTTGGCCTCCCTAAATGCTGGGATTACAGGTGTGTAATCCCACTGCACGCGGCCTACAATTTAGTTTTTATAGTTGTTGAAAATGCCTTGATATATGTGTATTTACTCAATCCCTTTATAATCCCACTGTAATCTTTATAATTATTCTGTTCTATGAAGATATAACAATAACAGCTCACATTTATTTAGAACGTGTTCTATGGAGCTATAACAATAACACCTCACCTTTATTTAGAACCTATCATCATCTGTGCTTTACATACATTATCTCATTTAATCCTGTCTGTGGCAAATATTCACTATCTTCTATAAGTGAAGAAATTGCAACTTACGGAAATTAGATAACTTGCCTAAAGATACACGGATAAAATCATGATTTGAACTCAAGACTAAGCTAAGACCATCTGGCTTCAGAATCTCAGCTCTTAATAACTGGGTAAACAACCTTTGTGTTAATATGTTTATTTTAAAATGCCTTCTGTGAGAGCAAGAACCATATCTTTTCTTAATAATTGTTGGGGTCTCACAATTAATTTCCATCCATATGGCGCATATTTAATAATAGCTGAAAATAAGGAAGAGGATGTTTTATTGCTGCTGATTACCTCTGTGACGCTAAAAAAAAAATCAAATTTCTTATCCTAATTGACCCAGAGACCAACAATGAGATAAGGCAAAGCCAGCCATTCAGCGTCCCTGTTACCTGGAACTACAGTGATGGTGGCTTGGGTCTCCATTTTCTAAAAAATAGTGTATTAATAGAAAATTTGAGGTATAAGACCAGCAGATGAGGAGATAATTGCCATCCAAATGATAGTTTGTTACTCACAGTCCCCAAGACAAGGGGGCATGGCATGGCAGAGGGAGCCACCTGGGGAAGCCCTGGGAACAGTCAGGAGGCAGAGGGAGAAGGAGGAACTGCAGACATGACCCTTAATTGTGGTAATCTGAGGGAAGGAACAGGTGAGGCAGAGTAAGCAGGCTTAGGACTGGCTAGTTTGATTCATTTCAGTGCGCTCTGGGGTATAGGAGTTTCCATCTTTACAAGGGGGCATACCCTACCCACACAGTTTAGTGTCCATCAAGCATTGCAAAGCAGAGTTGCAATTATTTCTCTTAAATCCATTTGATTAACAAACTACATTCTGTACTCTAGTGTATGTGTTTATACAATACACACACACATAGGACAATTTGCCTAAATGTGAGCTCAGTATCAGATACCACCCCCCACATCTCCTCCACATACCATATCACACATTCTCAAGAGTCTATGTTTAGTGGGCCGAAGTCGACATGGCCCTTTTGGTTTTTTCAAAAGCTTTAAAATACATTAAAACAAAATAGAGGCTAGATCTCCTTATTTTGAGCTCACAACTTCCTTAATACCAGAAATAATAGTATTTTTAAATTCAACAGAACTGTTTGCTCCAGGAAATGTTTTCTTCATAGTCATGGCAAAATCAAACATCACATTATTTCAAGTTTCAGCAAACATTTTATTCTCCTCATTAATGTCTCAAAACTGTTGGAAGCTAAAGCCTGAAAAAGTCCTTCAGCAATAAACGTAAATGTTTTACAAAGAAGAAAAAAGAAGTTGCAAGAGGATGTTCGTTTCTGTTAAATGTATTCCTGAGTATTTTTCTTTGGTAAAGTCCCCAAACTTGAACAAATTAGGCACAGCGTCGATAGAAGTAAAAGAAGTAATCGGTGAAGAATATCCCAGCAAAATAAGGATCAGTTGAACAGTCAGCTAAATCCTGTCAGAAAAGGAGAAAAAAAAAAAGGAAGATTAATGTAAAAATTAACTGTGGTTAAAGTGATTTTTTTTTATTGCTCAATTTCTTTCTCACTGAAAAGAAAAAGAAAAAGCAAGCTTACCGGTGCAGCTACACGGAAATGGAACATGCTGTCAGAAAATGGGGCTACAGGGAGGCTCCAAATGTGCTGATATCCCTAAATAGTGAATAAAAGAGGATCCATTTCGTACACGCATTTGACAGTCAGTAGGAAAGAGTACAGGCTGAAAAAGCATTTCCTCAATGACTGTAGGAGAAGTATTGGGATCACAGCTTTTGATGGGTGTTGCTAGAACAGTCCTAGCAACAGAACAGAAGTTGCCTTAGAAGGCAACTTCATAAGGACACAAGGAAGAGGCTGAGCCAAGCCCTGTGACTAGGGTTGGCCAGGGAGGGAAAACACTGGCAATTTGCTCAATGTATCCCTCTCTCAGCGGGGAAGAGAGGAGGCAGAAAACATTACCTGTGTCATCTCCTGGGAGATTTCTCTGTGGCTTTCCAGCCCTTTGGTTCCCCTTTTACTATGGAAACATATATTTCCAAGGGTGAATTTGCACTGGAAGACTATCAATGGCTCTGTTGTGCTTCAAGAGACAAAGAAAAGAAAGAGCACCTGAAAAAGCAGTTACCAGCTTCTACTAGGATACATCTTGATAAGAGGAGGATCTAATGGGAACGTAACTTGGAAATCCATTCAAAGTTCACAATAGGCATTGTATCACACAAAGCTCACCGATGCCAATAGGCCAGCTCACATCTCATTACTACAAAAGGAAACCCAATCTCAGATAGCTATCGAAATAGTATATGATGGTTTCTTTTTTTCTTTCTTTTCTATTTTTTTATAGAGACAAGATCTCGCTATGTTGCCCAGGCTGGTTCCAACTCCTGGGCTCAAGCAACCCTAACGCCTCGGCCACCCAAAGTGCTGGGATTACAGACGTTAGCCTGGCTGTGTATGATAGTTTTTAAAACCTAATCTTATGACTTATGTTGTCTCACATCAAAACTTATCTCCATATGTATTTTTTATAATTTTTGGATATATTCCTTCTCTTTCCACTGGCACTGAGTTTGCATTTATATGAAGCTTTCAGGATTTTTGATTTTGCAAATTCCGGGTCTAGGCAGATATTGTTTAAAATAAAAAGGCAAATAAATACAGGTAGGAGTTTGGGAGTGAGTCCTACCAGAAATCACTAGATTTTAAAGCTATCAGAGTTGAAAGTCTGCCAGAAAGTACGGTTCTTCTTCTCTGGAGGTTGGCCCCATTAATCATCATCAAGAGGATGAGATCTATTTGTCTTTGGGAACAATCCTTTTGCACAAGTTGGGGCAACCTACAATCTCAGTTGAGTATGTATGTTATTTTTAAGTCATCCATTTTACGAAAAATGGTTTGTAAACTAAAAGTCCTGATTTAGCAGCTCAAGGTGATCTGCCACTTCAGGGGATATAGCATATAACCTTATTTCCTTCCACTAAAAGCTAGAGATGAATAAGAAAATGTTATTCCAGGTTACTCAAGGAGTGCTAGATAATAGCACTTTCAGTTTATAAGAATAGTACATTTAGCTTTTGCTCTGCCTTGAAATATGGTAGGTTCTGAGTCACAAAATATTAGCTGCTTAAAAGAAACCTTTCCAAGGCAAGCAGTTGGGTTGAGTGACATTGGTTCCTCACAGAGGCAAAGTTGATGAAAAAAAGAGTATGAAGACTGAATAAGACGGAGGAAGAGGCAGAAGGCGTGCGGTGAAGGATGGAGGAGGAAAACAGAGCTGGGCAAGCAGAGGGAGAGAGGGGAGGACAGAGGGAAGGGAAAGAGTGATAGAAAAGGAAGGGAAGAAGAAAGGAAATGTGGAGGGGGATGGAAAGGAGAGACTAAAATCAGGAGACACAAAAAACCATTTATCTTCATGGAAAGTAGCTCATTGCATAATTTTTTAGTGGAAAGTCTTTAAGTGCCATAATCATTTAAAATATCTGATAAGAATAGGTTAAGTTAGAGTTTTGTGATTTAGGAGGAAAGGTAGTCCTAATAAAAGCTACCATTTATTGTGTGCTTACTGTGTGTCAGGAAAGGGCAGTGTCCTTACATGTCTCATCTCACTGGGGAGGCAGGACAAGACAGTGATGGCTGAGAGGGTGGACTGAATTTGAAGCCCAGCTCCATCACTTACTACCTGTGATTTTCAGAATGTGTTTTTTTTTTTTTTTATGTGTCCTGAAACTCTAAACCCAAGTGTCCCAATCTCAAAAATATAAACTAAGAAAAAAAAACCAACCTGGGAGGGTTGCTGTGAGGATTTTATGACCCAGTATTAAAGTCTGGCATATAGTCTGTGCTCAGCAAATGGCAGTTATTAATTTCACCATTATTAATAATTCTCACAGCAGCTCTATGTGCTATGGTGTCATGTAATACTTATATTACAGATAAAGAAACAGTAGCTCAAAGAAGATAAGTGGCTTGTCCAAGATCACAGAATTAGTAAGTGACAGAATCCTTGGACCCTGGTCTGTCCAATTCCAAACTCTGGTTCCTTTTTTTTTTTTTTTCTGTCTTTTGGAAAATAGGAGTGGTGTCTGCATTAACATTGCTACTGGGAGCTGTGCATCTTCCCATCGGGGGGCATGTTATTACTCTTGTTGCCATTCCAATTCTCTCTCACCAAGTGAGAAAGTCAGGGGAAGTCTATAGCTTATGAGTATCAAACCAAAATCACTCCCACTTTGTAGGCATGGGTATAGAGGTTAGAGCCCTTCTATTCCCTGAAGAAAGCCTGGATGATCACAGCCCTCATTTTGAAAACCTTTCCTTCAAATAGGCCACCTCTCAAACCATCATTAGTTAACACAAACTGATAGCTTTCTGCCTCTTAACGACTGACCAAATTGTGAAGTAAATCCAGACTTCATATTCAACTAATGATAAAAATGAAATTGTTTTTTACAGCCATGCACTTACTTTATTTCCAGAGAGAACTTGACATTGGTGGGTGTGTGTTTATTAACAGGAATATTGTAATTATAATTTCCAGATCTAATTATGGAAAGAAAATAAAACCACAAATCAAAATATGCAGGAAAGTCTTCGAAGGCCTTTTTGCTACTCATTATATACCATAAAAACTGTGAAATATTATATAGTAAATAATAAATATGGAAAACTGAGTTCAACCTGGTATCATTTTTTTGTTTTTAGGATATACCTGTCAAATTCAGAGTGATCTCTTTCAGGTCTTAATATAAAATATACCATAAAAAGTTATAGTTTTTTAGAACACACAGAAAAAAACAATGATGGAAAGTCAAATCCTAGACCAAGAAATGGCTTTTTCACACAGGAAATGACTTTAGTCCCCTTTAAAGAGACACAGATTTCTGAAGACAAATGAGGCAAAGCCCCAAACTAATAATGCCCCTAGAATAATAAATACATTTTTTCTACCCTAAATCACTCCCTTTTGAGCAACACTAGGAGGAAATATCAGGTACTTTTAGAATCTGAATCTGCTAAAATTGTTATAATTCTAATTACCATTTAGTAATGGAGAAGATTGCAAGACAAGTGCTTATACATAGATTCCCCCCACACCTTTAAGAGAGATACTTGGATAAAAGGGAAATTCCTTTGATTCGTATTGTAACGAAAAACTCCAGCAAAAAGACATATTGTCTCTAAAACAAGTTCTCCTTATTACCTGACCATCCCTTGAATTACATGGAAAAACAATTTAAAATCAGATCGATGGGAAAAAGAGTCAGTTATTTTATTTTTAAGTAATGCTAAACTAAGTTGCTAAAAAGGTAAAAAGCAAAAGTAAAGGAAATGGAAAGATCTTGCATTTTGCACTGGATAGGTATATTACAACAAAACGAAACATTATACATCTTGAATATAAACAATTTTTGCTTGTCAATTATACCTCAATACAGCTGAAAAAAATAAGAGTGCAACTTGCACACCAAATTGAGAACAGTGTTATTTCAGTGAATCAATGTACTTTTTAAAATAGAAAGATCTGCATTGGGATCAGGAGCAGTTTGTTTGACTAGGGGAAGCTTAGATAAATGGAATGCATTTCCTAAGATGTCTCTCCCATTATCTGCATGCTTCACAGCAACCCAACTCAGTTTTGAAAGTATCCCCATCTTATAGCTGAAAAATTGGTATTTGGGGAGAATAAACATCTTGTCAAAGAAGTTCTAGGACTTGAACTTGAATCATCTGACTCTTCACTATGTCATCTTACCACATTAATTAATAGCTGTATCTGCCACTTATAGGTGATCTTAGGCAAACTTTTTCAAGTTTAACTGAAATTTAACTACAAAACAGGGATACATTATACCAACTTCATGGGGATTTTGTGAGAATTCAATGAGATAATGAACATAGAGGTCATAAATCATAAAGCACCATACATGTTATTTTTATAACTCACAGCCATCAACTTGAAGCCCAGGTTATATCAGGTTGGAAAAGAAATGAGGCTGAAAACCCACAGGATTTGTGACACTAGTTCAGATTACAGGCCTTGCCTTTAATCTAGGAGGTGCCTAAGAAACAGTTATCAAATTAAGAAAAATAACTCCCCCATTCCGTGTGTGTGTGTGTGTGTGTGTGTGTGTGTGTGTCCGGGTTGCACTTTGTCATCCAGGCTGGAGTACAGTGGTGCAAACACACAGCTTACTGCAGCCTCGACCTCCTGGGCTCAAAAGATCCTCCCACCAATTAGCTGGGACCACAGGTGTGTGCCATCATGCCCAGCTAATATTTTGTTTGTTTGTTTGTTTGGAGAGACAGGATCTCATCATGTTGCCCAGGCTGGTCTTGACCTTTAACTCGGCTCAAGCAGTCCTTCTGCCTCAGCCTCCCAAAGTGCTGAAACTACAGGCGTGAGCCACCACGCCCAGCCCTCTCCATTCTTAATCCCTACAACTGGCACACTGTACTCTTTGAAGCAACTTGCACCCTCTGCTTCTAGAAGTATCATTACCTTGATACAGGTGATAAGGCATACACTGGAGATGGATGTCCCGATAACTTTTGCCATATCTGATTTTTTCCTCCTATCTGAAAAGCTAAGTTATATTTTTTCAGCAATTAAAATGATATCCCTTGTTATTAAAATATACAAATGTCACCTCACTTGTAACTTGGAGCCATGAGCAACAATGTCTTTCTTGTCTATAAAATTAACTGGCAGCTCTGTGCCCTTGATATGTGCCCTCAGAGAGTCAGCAACAGAGCTGCTCCCTAGGCTTTCTGCTTTGGACCCATCCATTAAACCAGGAGACGGGAATCACTAGGGCCGTGGCTTATTGACATTTGCTAATACCAACTGTTTTATGATTCTTTCTCCCACCATGTAATAAAGATGTTTTCACTTAAGGAGCAATGTAAGCACACATTGATTTTATCATGTAGCTTTAGCTTCCACTGCAGTCTTAAAAACCCAGAGCCATGGGTAAATTCCAGAAACAACCAGGGCATGCTGGGGAGGCTTACCTACCCGCACTGGAGGCTTTGAATGCAATACTGATGATCTATTATTTGCTGGATTTCCATAATCTGAATAGAACTGATGGTTGTATCAATCCCTGAATTGAGAAGAAATAGACAAAGTAAATAAACTCTTCTGAAAGGAAAAAGAATATTGTATTCCAGCCACAGTCCTCAAATTACAGAATGGGAAGTAAGAGTTTCCCAGGTCAAGAGATTCCATTTGTATTCAAATGGAAAACAAACAGGAGGAAAAGGAAGGGGAGAAGGCTTTTTGGGGGGTTATAGTACCTATTAGAAAAACTAATAAAAACTCAGGCTCCAATAAACATCCCCTATAACATTCAAAAGAATTTCTGGACCATGGAAGTCCTACTAAATCAAAATTTATTGAAAATGGAGGTGCAACATGAAATGCAATCTGTTTCAGAAAACAGAAGACAAACTAAAAATGTAGTCAGAATAGAAGAGGTCAGGAAGTTCAAATAAATTATGAACATCCATGGAGATCAACCACAACTTGTCTGACAGTGAGTGACCATTTCTAATGCCTCATTAGTGGTTAGGGTGGCATCGATTATAACACACAGTCCCATGGATATGCGTGGCAGGCAGGCTGCAGCCTTTGTCCCTGCTCCTCACTCCAGCAATGCTTTTACAACTTGTTAGTTGGCCTGGCCCCGCAAAGCCAAAGAATAGTGTCACTTAAATGTCAACTTACAGTCACTCTCCCAGTCAGGGCCGCTGAGTGCATTTCTTGCCAAAACTGATTTGCTTTTGTCTTCTGAAAAGGAAACAAGTCTGTCAATCTTGAAGGCTTGTTCAGGAGAAGAGAAGAAACCCCATGTGTGACCTAGTTCATCTCTGTGAGTTGAGTGTTCCCCCACCCTTTCTGTCTCCCATCCTTCAACTCATCTAATCTCTATCCTGTTTCTTATAGATCTAGTTTATTCTCCTCCTTCTGCAAGAAGTCATCTGTTATGGACTAAATTGGGTCCCCTTCCCAGCTACCAAATTCAAATGCATATAGTGAAGCCTTATCCCCCAGTACCTCAGAATGTGACTGTTTGTTGATAGGGCCTTTAAAGCAGTGATTAAGTTAAAAATAGGCTGTCAGGGTGGGTTCTAATACAATCTGACCTGTGTCCGTGTAAGAGCAGAAGATTAGGAGCCAGGCATGGTGGCTCACGCCTGTAATCCCAGCACTCTGGGAGGCCAAGGCGGGCAGATCACTTGAGGTTGGGAGTTCAAGACCAGCCTGGCCAACATGGTGAAACCCTGTCTCTACTAAAAAATATAAAATTAGCCAGGCATGGTGGTGCATGCCTCTAATCCCAGCTACTCGGGAGGCTGAGGCAGGAGAATCACTTGAACCTGGGAGGCGGAGGTTGTGGTGAGCCGAGATTGCGCCATTGCACTCCAGCCTGGACAACAAGAGTGAAACTCCATCTCAAAAAAAAAAAAAAAAAAAAAGCAGGTTAGGACACACAGGGAGACCCTAGGGCTACGTGTGCACAGAGGAAAGACCATCTGAAGACACAGCAAGTTGACAGTCATCTGCAGACCAAGGAGAGAAGCCTCAGAAGAAATCAGACCTGCTGACACCTTGGTCTTGGACTTCCAGCCACCAGAACTGTGAGAAAATAATTATCTGTGGTTTAAGCCACCCAGTCAGTGGTATTCTGTTACGACGGCAAAGTGGACTAAGAAACTATCCCCAACTAGGTCTGCAGCTCACAGATCCCTCCTTTCCAATGCCATAGCACTTATTACTGAACCATCAATGCAGTCATCAATCAGTGATATATCTGTCACCATACTGAAGGGCATATTACCTCTGTATTATTACTTAACTTTTCATGTATTTTTGCCTTTCCTGACAATTCCAGAATAGGGAATGTCTACTAATATTCTTTGAATCCTCTGTAACCCCTGCCATAATGTCTTGCTCAATCTATGGAAACTGTCTTTCTTTGATTAATGACAAGCTAATGATAGTTTTATTTCCTATCTAGTTTGTGAATGAACATTGTTAATTGAAATTATTATCTTTAGATTATCTGGATTCTTTTTTATCCATCTTAGTATTGCTATCTCAGAATCACACACGCTAATGTAAAAAAAGAAATAAATAACCAAGGAATCTCTGTTTGAACACCTCCAGTGACAAGGGACTCACTGCCCATTCTTCTGCTGGGCAATGCTAAATACCAGTTTTCCCTTCTACTGAGCTAGCATCTGCCTTCCTGTTGATCTTCTTTTGATCCTGATACTACTTCTCGAGTGAGTATAACAGGCCCTAAAGTCAACTTCTCTGCTCAACTGAAGCCTGGCTCATATGAAGTTGCAAAGGAGTAGGGACATACTCATTAGTCATATTTATTTTTCTGAGTGAAAGCAAAGGCTATGAAAAAATATAACATTTGGACACTAGCAAGGAGAAAGAACTACTCCTGGAGATCCCAGGAGAAAGCATGGAGATAGGAGATGGACTGTTTCATAGAATAATCCCTTTAGAGTTGAGTCCAGGTAGCACCACGGCCTAGCATCAAATGTATATTGGTCCCTATTGATTTTTCAACCCTGCCTACTTCTGTGACCTCTCTGCTGCTTAACATATCCTGTTAAAATAGAGAATAGGTCCAAGGGCAGTGGAGAGAGTGGGTAAAAATGAAGAAAAATAGGAGCAAAACTATCCCTACAGTAAAATAATGAAACGTTAACCTTCTTCATACAAGTAGAGTTTGTGGTCTCTAAAGATAAGCAAAACTTATAAAAAAAAAAATTGAGCATGCTTTCCCAATTGCTTAATAACTTGAACATGAAATGTTAGAGGAAATTCTGTGGGACATATATTTTTGCACTGAAGGATAACAATGATAATTACACCTACTATTTGTTAACACCTACTCTTCATTGAACATTGTTCTGAGTGCCTTACAAAAGTCCAAGAGTGA
Source organism: Homo sapiens (assembly GCF_000001405.40). NCBI lineage: Eukaryota > Metazoa > Chordata > Mammalia > Primates > Hominidae > Homo > Homo sapiens. The sequence continues at coordinate 69,949,939 of NC_000012.12, read as the reverse complement.
GGTTATCCCCGCTTGACAGATAAGCTAAGTGAGGCACTAAGGACTCAGCTTGTGGATAGGAATAAAGAGTTTCCAATTCAAACCATCTAATTCCAGAGTCCACAATTTTGCTATTCTGGGAAAATGTGAAATGTGATCCATGTAGGAAAAAAATTGAGCTTAAAGTCTAAGGCAGGGGTGTCCAGTCTTCTGGCTTCCCTAGGCCACACTGGAAGAAGAATTGTCTTGGGCCACACATAAAATACACTAACACTAATGATAGCTGAAGGGCTAAAAAAAAAAAAAATTACAAAAAAAAAATCTCATAATGTTTTAAGAAAGTTTACAAATTTGTGCTGGGCCACATTCAAAGCCGTCCTGGGCCGCATGTGGCCGGCCCATGGGCCGCGGGTTGGACAAGCTTGGTCTAAAGTAAGGCCTGAGATGCAGCCAGCTGAAGGGAGGAATCAGGCTGCTGGTGTGGGGCCAGAGCAGGCTTGCAGGGAGGGAGCCCAGGGAGTGGCTAGGCTCCTGTCATCACCCAAAAGGCATTTTAAATGCAATTTTGGAAAGGTAACCATTCAGATGAATGTTGTTAAGGCTATATTTTTAATGTATCTTTTTAAAGTAGATAGTGAAAGCAATCATTTAGTGGGTCGCTAAGTACACCTAACAAAATAACTTTATGAAGTTTTGGCAGTCTTTTTTTTTTTTTTAATTTGCAGATTTAGATCTATGTTCAAGTTTCAGGATAGAAAGCAAAAGCAACAGTACACAATACTTGGGGACAATCACTCCTAAACATCCCTATCCTGGTTACAACTCCTTTCACTAGGTGGAATGACTAGTTTACTTACCCATTCACCTAACTGTGAGCTCCTTGAAGACTACATCCTGTTCACTGTTGTATCCCAGATAGGGTAATGCTGGGCTCACAGTGGTGCTCAATGAATATGGGTGAAAGGATGGAAGGAAGAGAGCCAGGGAAAGAGTAAGGAAAAGAAGAGGGAAGACCAATTTAACCTCCAAAAAACTTTCCTCTTACACATTCACAGGGAAAGTTCCCAGGGGAAGGGTGCAGAGGGATGCTGAGAAAGAACATGGGAAGCTAGACTCCTTATTCTATTAGCAAAAGGAAGCAAGACAGAACTGGAAGGCAGGGCAAGTTTCTGAACCCAACATGGTGCTTTCCATTAAGAAGAAATGGGTCCTGATATATGAGGAGTTTCTAGAAAATTGAATATTTATTTTCCTTTACAAGTAAACACATATGCTGCCAAAAAGTCCTCCAGATTTCTTGGATTCTAGCTATTCCAGTAATAATTTTCAAACACGTCTCTACTATTAGTTTTGCTTAAGACTGCTTCCACAGAAGGTTGTAAATTTACAACGCAAATGAGGCATAAAGAGAAGTGGAAACCAGGACTTCTCTATCCTGTGTGTTTTCTTCTCCTACCTTTTGTCCTACTTGCCTGCTGAATTTGCAGAAAAAGAGCTCGTTATAAATTCTGGCAACAGAACTACAGATTTGTCTTCTTCCACAGAACTGTGTTTTCAGGTCCTGGAGACATAGAACCCTATGAATACAATTGAGTACCTGGTGGGGTAAGGTTTTTTTTAAAAAACAGCAATAAATAGGTGGGAATGAGGAAAGATAATCTTGCAGATCAGAATTATAAAAATGATTTTTCAAACGCAAGAAATAAGATTTAAATCTCCCATAAAACACCTTCCATTTGACACTTCTCTGAAACAAGACTATTTGACTCTGAAAGGCTGGTTATAAGAAACCCATAAATCTTCCAGTAGTCATACAGGAAGTCATAAAGTCATACTTTCAGCACCTTCTAGGGTTGATCTCATTTTACAAATGCCTTCCAGTGATATTCATTATAAGCTTCATATAGTACATCCCCTGCAGTTTTCATTATAAAGTTGGAGATATATTTCACAATTGGTAGATGAGCTCTCCCAACAAACTAAATTAGAAACTTCTGGAGAGTAAAGATTTAGGATGGTGCCCAAAAAAAGCATACTCCTGTCATGGTAGAAGGTGTATATTGCACTACTTGTAAGACTGTGTTGTACTTGTACTGGCTGAGTCCAGTACAGCATCTTGGATACATTTCTCTTCCCTTCACTGAACCAGACTCATGCACTATGAAGAAGCCAATGAGCCCCACCAGTCGATGGCTGAGTTCTTTAAAATGGGGGACCATTTTCTTCTGGCCATTCACTTTTCTCAGAGTCATGGTCTCCAAAACAAAATGAGCATGAATTCCAGATTTTTAAAAAATCTTCACCAACTCTAATATATTCTATAGAATTCCATAGATGCTTTTCTCCACAGGCTCTTTACTTTTTAATATCTAACTCTCCTGTCTACTTAAATCTTTACTGGTTCCATGGATTAAAATCTAATTCATCACATTCAGATGGTTCCTTAGAGTAGAAGCTCAATATTCCAAAATACTCACTTTCCACTTCCTGATTAGCCTTACCCAAACTTTTTATTAAGTGAGGGGGAGAGGGAGAGATAACCTTTCTGAAAGACACTTTACACAGATATGATCAACTTTGGCCCAAAAGAAGAATAATGACATGAGCTCAGCATGTCATAAAAATGTTGATTTCCCTTCACTTATTTTATTATAGTCTTACTCCTCAGGGAGGAGGCTCATAAATGTGTTTAGGGGTTTAGTAAACTGTTAGATATTACTCTGCATCCCACTGAGAGCTTTTCTAAGTTTTTTTTGTTACTCTTGAATTTCTTTTTTATTTTTATTCCTTAATTTTTAATTGGTCTTTAATGCTTTAGAAACATCTGGCTGAAAAGAATACTTTCCTAGACTTCTCCTCTTTTGTATTTAGAAGCCTGGTGTTATACAGTACCTTGAACAGAGGGGAAGAGTAAACCAGCAGCAGAAGAGAAGAGGCTTTGCTCAGACTCCAAAATATCCCACATCAGGGACATTGCAATGGACAGAGGCAAACTTGCCAGGAGGAGGCAGAAGGGGCCATAGAGTGGATACTTTCTGCACCTTCTAGAGTTGATCTCAGGTACATGCACAGCCCATGTCCAAATCAATGGAGGCAGGATAGCAAATGGGAAGGAATCCAGGACAGGGAAGTGGGGGACCCAGATTTCAATTCCAACTTTTCTAGAAACTCAACTGAGGAATCTTAAGCAAGGTCCAGTGCCTCCATTTCATCAGCTGCAAAATGGGTAATTTGGTATAAATCAGCAGTTCTCCTGACATGGGGTCCTTGGAACCTTGGGTGATTGCATAAAGGGGTCTGTGGTGTTGTCTGTAGACTTGAAAAGCAACATATCTCCTATAGATTTGTACTATTTTTCAAACGCCACTGTTGGAGTAATAAAAACAATTCAGTTAAAAGCTTAACTGAACTTATAGTTACATTTGTTCTTTATGTATTTTCTCAATCACATCATTGTAAAAGTAGGCTTATAGTGGATTCTCGGGGCCAAAAAGTCAGGTGCCACTTGCGTAGCTGTTCTCTGAGATTCTGTGACTAAATTTCCAAAAGTTTTTGGGTTTTCTGAAGACAAAAGTGAATCAAACATTTGAATTCTTTCCATTTTTCTCCAGTTGACAAAAGGAAGAGATAACAACTTTCCCAGTGTATCACAGAGCCTAGTAAGGCACAACATAAATTTCATTTGTAGTCAAAGAAGCAGTTAGTTCTGTCTAGGTGGACACAGCCTGGCACCATGGAGCAAATTTTCTTTCCTTGGGAATCACTTCTTTCTTTAGAAGTTTACATAGCTATAGAAACAAGATGAGCAGACACTCATCTTGTTTCTAGGCTACTGCTTTTAGGGGAACATTTCTAAAAACAATAATAAATTAGTATACATTTGGAAGAATTGTATATAATCTTATGGACATGATTACACTTGTAGCCCTTGATTAAGTTTCTATAATTTTTTTTTTTTTTTTTTTTTTTTTTTTGAGACGGAGTCTCGCTCTGTCGCCCAGGCTGGAGGGCAGTGGCGGGATCTCGGCTCACTGCAAGCTCCGCCTCCCGGGTTCACGCCATTCTCCTGCCTCAGCCTCCCAAGTAGCTGGGACTACAGGCGCCCGCCACTACGCCCGGCTAATTTTTTGTATTTTTAGTAGAGACGGGGTTTCACCGTTTTAGCCAGGATGGTCTCGATCTCCTGACCTCGTGATCCGCCCGCCTCGGCCTCCCAAAGTGCTGGGATTACAGGCGTGAGCCACCGCGCCCAGCCTATAATTTTTTTAACATGAAAATTCTGTATTGTCACAGAGAGCAACGAGCCTTGATCTGGTTTAATAAGGGCTATTCTTCCCAATACAGTCATGCATTGCTTAACTACATGATGCTGTGAAATATGTCATTAGGCAATTTCACTGTTGTACAAACATCACAAAGTGTACTTCACAAACCTAGATTGTATAGCCTACTACACACCTAGGCTATATTGCTTCTTGGCTGCAAACCTGTACAGCATGTTACTGTAAATACTGTTGGCAATTGTAACACAATGGTAAGTATTTGTGTATCTAAATATTTCTAAATGTAGAAAGGGTACAGTAAAAAATAAAGTATAAAAGACAAAAACTAGTCCACCTGTGTAGGGAATTTACCATGAATGGAGCTTACAGGGCTGGAAGTTGCTCTGAGTCAATCAGTGAGTGAGCGGTGAGTGAATCTGAAGGCCTGGGACACTACTGTAAACTTTATAAACACCATATATTTAGGCTATACTAAATTTATTTTTAAAATTTTCTTTCTTCTAATTAACCTTAGCTTGCTATAACTTTTTTACTTTATAAACTTCTAAATTTTAAAAAACTTTTTGACTCTTGTAATAACACTTAGCTTAAAACACAAACACATTGTACAGCTGTACAAAGATATTTTCTTTCTTTATATCTTTATTTTAATTTTTTTTCACATTTTAAATATCTATTTTATTTTCGTTAAAAAAATTTGTATTAATGAGTAGTGAATGTACATCATGGTAATTTAATACAGTCATATAATGTATAAAGGTCATATTAGTGTAACTTGGGATATCCATCACTTTTTTAAAATTATACTTCAAGTTGTAGGATACATGTGCAGAACGTGCAGGTGTGTTACATAGGTATACACACGCCTTGGTGGTTTGCTGCACCCATCAACCCGTCATCTACATTAGGTATTTCTCCTAATGCTATCCCTCCCCTAGCCCAAGGGATATCCATTACTTTAAATATTTGTCTTTTCTTTTTTTTTCTTTTATTATTATACTTTAAGTTTTAGGGTACATGTGCACATTGTGCAGGTTAGTAACATACGTATACATGTGCCATGCTGGTGTGCTGCACCCACTAACTCGTCATCTAGCCTTAGGTATATCTCCCAATGCTATCCCTCCCCCCTCCCCCAACCCCACAACAGTCCTCAGAGTGTGATGTTCCCCTTCCTGTGTCCATGTGTTCTCATTGTTCAATTCCCACCTATGAGTGAGAATATGTGGTGTTTGGTTTTTTGTTCTTGCGATAGTTTACTGAGAATGATGATTTCCAATTTCATCCATGTCCCTACAAAGGACATGAACTCATCATTTTTTATGGCTGCATAGTATTCCATGGTGTATATGTGCCACATTTTCTTAATCCAGTCTATCATTGTTGGACATTTGGGTTGGTTCCAAGTCTTTGCTATTGTGAATAATGCCGCAATAAACATACGTGTGCATGTGTCTTTATAGCAGCATGATTTATAGTCCTTTGGGTATATACCCAGTAATGGGATGGCTGGGTCAAATGGTATTTCTAGTTCTAGATCCCTGAGGAATCGCCTCACTGACTTCCACAAGGGTTGAACTAGTTTACAGTCCCACCAACAGTGTAAAAGTGTTCCTATTTCTCCACATCCTCTCCAGCACCTGTTGCTTCCTGACTTTTTAATGATTGCCATTCTAACTGGTGTGAGATGGTATCTCATTGTGGTTTTGATTTGCATTTCTCTGATGGCCAGTGATGATGAGCATTTTTTCATGTGTTTTTTGGCTGCATAAATGTCTTCTTTTGAGAAGTGTCTGTTCATGTCCTTCATCCACTTTTTGATGGGGCTGTTTGTTTTTTTCTTGTAAATGTGTTTGAGTTCATTGTAGATTCTGGATATTAGCCCTTTGTCAGATGAGTAGGTTGCAAAAATTTTCTCCCATTTTGTAGGTTGCCTGTTCACTCTGATGGTAGTTTCTTTTGCTGTGCAGAAGCTCTTTAGTTTAATTAGATCCCATTTGTCAATTTTGGCTTTTGTTGCCATTGCTTTTGGTGTTTTAGACATGAAGTCCTTGCCCATGCCTATGTCCTGAATGGCAATGCCTAGGTTTTCTTCTAGGGTTTTTATGGTTTTAGGTCTAACATGTAAGTCTTTAATCCATCTTGAATTGATTTTTGTATAAGGTGTAAGGAAGGGATCCAGTTTCAGCTTTCTACATATGGCTAGCCAGTTTTCCCAGCACCATTTATTAAATAGGGAATCCTTTCCCCATTGCTTGTTTTTGTCAGGTTTGTCAAAGATCAGATAGTTGTAGATATGCGGCGTTATTTCTGAGGGCTCTGTTCTGTTCCATTGATCTATATCTCTGTTTTGGTACCAGTACCATGCTGTTTTGGTTACTGTAGCCTTGTAGTATAGTTTGAAGTCAGGTAGTGTGATGCCTCCAGCTTTGTTCTTTTGGCTTAGGATTAACTTGGCGATGCGGGCTGTTTTTTCGTTCCATATGAACTTTAAAGTAGTTTTTTCCAATTCTGTGAAGAAAGGCATTGGTAGCTTGATGGGGATGGCATTGAATCTGTAAATTACCCTGGGCAGTATGGCCATTTTCATGATATTGATTCTTCCTATCCATGAGCATGGAATGTTCTTCCATTTGTTTGTATACTCTTTTATTTCCTTGAGCAGCGGTTTGTAGTTCTTCTTGAAGAGGTCCTTCACATCCCTTGTAAGTTGGATTCCTAGGTATTTTATTCTCTTTGAAGCAATTGTGAATGGGAGTTCACTCATGATTTGGCTGTTTGTCTGTTGTTGGTGTATAGGAATACTTGTGATTTTTGCACATTGATTTTGTAGCCTGAGACTTTGCTGAAGTTGCTTATCAGCTTAAGGAGATTTTGGGCTGAGACAATGGGGTTTTCTAGATATACAATCATGTCATCTGCAAACAGGGACAATTTGACTTCCTCTTTTCCTATTTGAATACCCTTTATTTCCTTCTCCTGCCTAATTGCCCTGGCCAGAACTTCCAACACTATGTTGAATAGGACTGGTGAGAGAGGGCATCCCTGTCTTGTGCCAGTTTTCAAAGGGAATGCTTCCAGTTTTTGCCCATTCAGTATGATATTGGCTGCGGGTTTGTCATAGATAGCTCTTATTATTTTGAAATATGTCCCATCAATACCTAATTTATTGAGAGTTTTTAGCATGAAAAGTTGTTGAATTTTGTCAAAGGCCTTTTCTGCATCTATTGAGATAATCATGTGGTTTTTGTCTTTGGCTCTGTTTATATGCTGGATTACATTTATTGATTTGCATATATTGAACCAGCCTTGCATCCCAGGGATGAAGCCCACTTGATCATGGTGGATAAGCTTTTTGATGTGCTGCTGGATTCGGTTTGCCAGTATTTTATTGAGGATTTTTGCATCAGTGTTCATCAAGGATATTGGTCTAAAATTCTCTTTTTTGGTTGTGTCTCTGCCCGGCTTTGGTATCAGAATGATGCTGGCCTCATAAAATGAGTTAGGGAGGATTCCCTCTTTTTCTATTGATTGGAATAGTTTCAGAAGGAATGGTACCAGTTCCTCCTTGTACCTCTGGTAGAATTCGGCTGTGAATCCATCTGGTCCTGGACTCTTTTTGGTTGGTAAGCTATTGATTATTGCCACAATTTCAGATCCTGTTATTGGTCTATTCAGAGATTCAGCTTCTTCCTGGTTTAGTCTTGGGAGAGTGTATGTGTCCAGGAATTTATCCATTTCTTCTAGATTTTCTAGTTTATTTGCGTAGAGGTGTTTGTAGTATTCTCTGATGGTAGTTTGTATTTCTGTGGGATCGGTGGTGATATCCCCTTTATCATTTTTTATTGCATCTATTTGATTCTTCTGTCTTTTTTTCTTTATTAGTCTTGCTAGCGGTCTATCAATTTTGTTGATCCTTTCAAAAAACCAGCTCCTGGATTCATTAATTTTTTGAAGGGTTTTTTGTGTCTCTATTTCCTTCAGTTCTGCTCTGATTTCAGTTATTTCTTGCCTTCTGCTAGCTTTTGAATGTGTTTGCTCTTGCTTTTCTAGTTCTTTTAATTGTGATGTTAGGGTGTCAATTTTGGATCTTTCCTGCTTTCTCTTGTGGGCATTTAGTGCTATAAATTTCCCTCTACACACTGCTTTGAATGCGTCCCAGAGATTCTGGTATGTTGTGTCTTTGTTCTCGTTGGTTTCAAAGAACATCTTTATTTCTGCCTTCATTTCGTTATGTACCCAGTAGTCATTCAGGAGCAGGTTGTTCAGTTTCCATGTAGTTGAGCGGTTTTGAGTGAGATTCTTAATCCTGAGTTCTAGTTTGATTGCACTGTGGTCTGAGAGATAGTTTGTTATAATTTGTGTTCTTTTACATTTGCTGAGGAGAGCTTTACTTCCAACTATGTGGTCAATTTTGGAATAGGTGTGGTGTGGTGCTGAAAAAAATGTATATTCTGTTGATTTGGGGTGGAGAGTTCTGTAGATGTCTATGAGGTCCGCTTGGTGCAGAGCTGAGTTCAATTCCTGGGTATCCTTGTTGACTTTCTGTCTCATTGATCTGTCTAATGTTGACAGTGGGGTGTTAAAGTCTCCCATTATTAATATGTGGGAGTCTAAGTCTCTTTGTAGGTCACTCAGGACTTGCTTTATGAATCTGGGTGCTCCTGTATTGGGTGCATATATATTTAGGATAGTTAGCTCTTCTTGTTGAATTGATCCCTTTACCATTATGTAATGGCCTTCTTTGTCTCTTTTGATCTTTGTTGGTTTAAAGTCTGTTTTATCAGAGACTAGGATTGCAACCCCTGCCTTTTTTTGTTTTCCATTTGCTTGGTAGATCTTCCTCCATCCTTTTATTTTGAGCCTATGTGTGTCTCTGCACATGAGATGGGTTTCCTGAATACAGCACACTGATGGGTCTTGACTCTTTATCCAATTTGCCAGTCTGTGTCTTTTAATTGGAGCATTTAGTCCATTTACATTTAAAGTTAATAGTGTTATGTATGAATTTGATCCTGTCATTATGATGTTAGCTGGTTATTTTGCTCGTTAGTTGATGCAGTTTCTTCCTAGCCTCGATGATTTTGCAGTGGCTGGTACCGGTTGTTCCTTTCCATGTTTAGCACTTCCTTCAGGAGCTCTTTTAGGGCAGGCCTGGTGGTGACAAAATCTCTCAGCATTTGCTTGTCTGTAAAGTATTTTATTTCTCCTTCACTTATGAAGCTTAGTTTGGCTGGATATGAAATTCTGGGTTGAAAATTATTTTCTTTAAGAATGTTGAATATTGGCCCCCACTCTCTTCTGGCTTGTAGTGTTTCTGCCGAGAGATCCGCTGTTAGTCTGATGGGCTTCCCTTTGAGGGTAACCCGACCTTTCTCTCTGGCTGCCCTTAACATTTTTTCCTTCATTTCAACTTTGGTGAATCTGACAATTATGTGTCTTGGAGTTGCTCTTCTCGAGGAGTATCTTTGTGGTGTTCTCTGTAGTTCCTGAATCTGAACGTTGGCCTGCCTTGCTAGATTGGGGAAATTCTCCTGGGTAATATCCTGCAGAGTGTTTTCCAACTTGGTTCCATTCTCCCCATCACTTTCAGGTACACCAGTCAGACGTAGATTTGGTCTTTTCACATAGTCCCATATTTCTTGGAGGCTTTGCTCATTTCTTTTTATTCTTTTTTCTCTAAACTTTCCTTCTCACTTCATTTCATTCATTTCATCCATTTCATCTTCCATTGCTGATACCCTTTCTTCCAGTTGATCGCATCGGCTCCTGAGGCTTCTGCATTCTTCACGTAGTTCTCGAACCTTGGTTTTCAGCTCCATCAGCTCCTTTAAGCACTTCTCTGTATTGGTTATTCTAGTCATACATTCTTCTAAATTTTTTTCAAAGTTTTCAACTTCTTTGCCTTTGGTTTGAATGTCCTCCCGTAGCTCAGAGTAATTTGATCGTCTGAAGCCTTCTTCTCTCAGCTCGTCAAAGTCATTCTCCGTCCAGCTTTGTTCCGTTGCTGGTGAGGAACTGTGTTCCTTTGGAGGAGGAGAGGCGCTCTGATTTTTAGAGTTTCCAGTTTTTCTGTTCTGTTTTTTCCCCATCTTTGTGGTTTTTTTCTACTTTTGGTCTTTGATGATGGTGATGTACAGATGGGTTTTTGGTGTGGATGTCCTTTCTGTTTGTTAGTTTTCCTTCTAACAGACAGGACCCTCAGCTGCAGGTCTGTTGGAGTACCCTGCCGTGTGAGGTGTCAGTGTGCCCCTGCTGGAGGGTGCCTCCCAGTTAGGCTGCTCGGGGGTCAGGGGTCAGGGACCCACTTGAGGAGGCAGTCTGCCCGTTCTCAGATCTCCAGCTGCGTGCTGGGAGAACCACTGCTCTCTTCAAAGCTGTCAGACAGGGACATTTAAGTCTGCAGAGGTTACTGCTGTCTTTTTGTTTGTCTGTGCCCTGCCCCCAGAGGTGGAGCCTACACAGGCAGGCAGGCCTCCTTGAGCTGTGGTGGGCTCCACCCAGTTCGAGCTTCCTGGTTGCTTTGTTTACCTAAGCAAGCCTGGGCAATGGTGGGCGCCCCTCCCCCAGCCTCGCTGCCGCCTTGCAGTTTGATCTCAGACTGCTGTGCTAGCAATCAGCGAGACTCCATGGGGTAGGACCCTCCGAGCCAGGTGCGGGATATAATCTCGTGGTGCGCCATTTTTTAAGCCCGTCGGAAATGCGCAGTATTCGGGTGGGAGTGACCCGATTTTCCAGGTGCCATCCGTCACCCCTTTCTTTGATTAGGAAAGGGAACTCCCTGAACCCTGCGCTTCCCGGGTGAGGCAATGCCTCGCCCTGCTTCGGCTCGCGCACGGTGCGCGCACCCACTGACCTGCGCCCACTGTCTGGCACTCCCTAGTGAGATGAACCCGGTACCTCAGAGGGAAATGCAGAAATCACCCGTCTTCTGCATCGCTCAGGCTGGGAGCTGTAGACCGGAGCTGTTCCTATTCCTATATCTTTATTTTATAAGCTTTTTTTATTTAAAATTTTTTTTTACTTTTAAACCTTTTCATTAAAAACTAAAGTGCAAATATACACATTAGCCTGGCCTGTACAAGGTCAGGATCATCAAGACATCACCAGGCAATAATAATTTTTCAGCTCAATTATTATCTTATGGGGCCACTAGTGTATATATGGTCCATTGTTGACTGAAACATCATTATGTGGCACATGACTATATTCCCTTGATGTGAACAGCTGGTTACTTCAGGAATGAACTTGTTCAGAGGTCAAGAAACCCTTGAAAATGAAGAGTGGACCAGTCTACGACCTCTTCCTATTCAGGATCTGTTATTAGTACATCTCTCATAGGTGAGATGGTCTCTTCTGAGGACTGCTTTGAGAAAAGAACATCAAGTGTCTCCAGCATGGGCTCCCAAAGTAAGAAAAGTGTTTACCAGCCACAAGGTTCCATGTGCTTTCACAAGGGATAAAAGCCTTGGGGATTTCTGTGATAGTTCTAGATTTTTTCATATTTAAAAATATTGAGAATAAGATGACTGAAATGAATTCCTTTCTTTAAAATGAAGTTTTTAGTTCTACTCCATAGTGATGCATCTGCTCCTAAGTTCAATCAAAAATAGTTTTCATGAGAAAAGCTCATTGTCTCCTATTGCTGTAGTGAAAGAACTCTCTGTGTCTCAGCTTCCCCACTGGAAAAAAAAATTGGGATAATAAAAGCACCTCGTTTGTAGGCTTGTGAAGATTAAATGATTTACTCATGTAAACTACTTATGACAGTACCTAGCGTAGAGTAATACCTCATTACAACATGATAATCATGATGATGATGACAATTTGTAAAAGTTATTTAACCAAGACTAGGATATGCAATAATGTCAAAAGGGAAAGGAAATTACATTGCACCCCAACATTTCAACCACTGACCATATTCTATGTAGGTCATGAGCACCACTTATAAGTATTCTGGTTCATCTTCTCCATACATGTTAGATCTGTTCTTCCCCATCCGTTTAAAAATTAGACATGACCAATGTGACGTGACTTGCTTTGGCCAATGAAGTATAAGCAGAGGTGATATGTGTTATACATAGGTGGAAGCTTTAAGAGTCGGAACATAATTTGCCTTGTTCTTTTACCACTACTACGGAGACTGTGGAAATAATTATTGTGATGGAATCTTCATCAGCTGGACTTTAAATGACATGATGACCAAGAACTGTCTTTTGATTCACATTTAATATATAGAGTGACTCAGAATTAAATTGTTGCCATAAAGAAGCCACTGTTATTTAAGAGTTGTTGTTATGACAGTATCCTAATCAATAAGCCATAGTAATATGTATCCTTATTAGCATCATCATTAATATTACTATTTATTAATATGTATATATAGAATAAAATTTCTAAAAACAATAATAAATTAGTATACATTTGGAAGACTTGTATGTAATCTTATGGATATGATTACACTTGCAGCCCTTGATTAAGTTTCTATACTTTTTTTTACCATGAAAATTGTGTTACTTGAATAACATTGGTATGTATGTATGTGTGTGTGTGTCCCTAGGAGGAAGAGGAAAGTTATTCTGAAAGTGGAATGCCAGTCTTGTGTTTTTCACTGCCTTAAATCTCACCCTGAACTCTAAATTAGAGTTTCCAAAGTCTCTTACATTTTGCCCTAGTCAGTTTAGGCAGAGAGCCCAGATACCACATCATTTTTTAAACTCTAAATGAGCCCAAAAAATCCACCCACGTGCATGTAATTACTTCGCTTGTGCTACTATTACTATCCTTGTTGGCAATGGACAAATGAGAACCTTTCACTTGGTGAAAATTATAAGTACTTGAATCAACCAAAATTTCATTCCTGGGCAAGGAACTCAATATTACAGATGATTGGCAGTTGTGTATTTGTGTTTTAAAGATTTTGCCACCCCAAATAGAAGCATGGAACCATTATCTGGAACCATTAATGACCATCTAAGTAAATTGTGACAAGAAAAACAACCTCAAGTTCAAAGCTCTAGTTGTTTCTCTTTGAACATCATTTACCTGACCATCGCCTCTGATGGAATTCCTTCTCCTCAGATTGTCTTTGCACAGGACTTGAAGAGACTTCTTTCATTCCCCGGATGGGGCAGCAATAAGTCTCCTGACACGGCAGGATTTCACAGAAAGTAATTTCAGGTACTTGTAAGGAGGCCGGTGTGGTTACCAGGGATGTATTAGGTGCTGCAAGGCATTGGGCAGGGGGGAGGGGAAGCAAGAAGGTTAACCTGAAAGGCTGGTTTCTTCTGTTAACAGTTCACTTGAAACCGGGTTTGAGGGTGAGGAATGTGAAGCCTTTACCTGAGGAGGAGGCTGTGGGCAGCAGAGCTGGCTCCTGTGAGCTTGTGATATTGCTGGAGAAAAAGAATGAAATGATTAATGAAAGAGGGCTGCAAAAATCCTTCTCTCCAAAGGAATTTTAGGCCAGAAAATTGAACTGAACTCTCACCTTGGAGGGAGATTTGGGACACGTCGGTCTTGATCTTTTAAGCTAAGTATATAGAGGGCAACTATCGTCAAAGCACTGTCAAAAAAAAAAAAAAAAAAAAAAAAAAAAACATTATGTGGCAGATTTGTTTCCAGATATATCTCACACATCCAGCTGGCCAGAGATGTACTCTCACAGGCCACACAGATGGGAGCAGGGGGGAGGGGATGGCCACGGCTGACAGAAACACCATGGAAACCAGCACAGTTATGCTTTTCTGCCCTGGAGAGAAAAAGAGCTCAGAGGCTCCTAGGTATTCCATGCTGATGGATTTTTCCACATAGAGCAGCCCCCCAGCCCTGGCAAGCTGTCTCAGAGGTGCCTGTCACTAGTGGAAGATTACAAGAGGAAGCATGTAAGTTGCTGGAGGCAACTGCTCCTTGCAGGAAAGAGTCAGAGCACAGTTTGCGTGCCACCGGTGGAGGGCATTGGCACTGTCGCATTGGGAGATGGAAGGCGGCACAGGTCTAGTCAGCTGTGGATGCCAAACCCTCTGGCTGCTTCTCTGACATCTTCCTTCCGGCTGCCTGTCTTTTCAGAGCACAATACGCTGAACAGGTCAGAGGAAGGAAAAGAACTGCAAGAAAGTATTTGTTTCCACACTGTGAGACTTCAAAAATAACGAGGGTGTCTTCTCCCCCATCACTGGAACTTACATAAACAAATGGAAGCTTTCCTTAAGAGTTCCGAGCCTTGGGAAGCTATTCCCAACAATCCTCATGCATCCAAATACTTAGTGTTCTCCTCTTTGGGGGACATCTTCAGAACCCTCTCACAAGTCACACAGAAAGTCTGCTGATGGCTTTACAGCACTGTTTTGTGCTAGGCTTGAAAGAGTTACCTGACTTGACTTCTTGCCAGTTTGACTTCACACCTGGTTCTCCAAACTTGACTCCTCATTATTTTGCTTCCCATCAAAGGTGCTGGATTTACCATCATTAGGATACACAAAAAAAAACTGTGCCATATGTGCTTATAAAGAACAAATTCCCAAAGTGTTCTCAGCAGCAGCTGGTTGCTGCCCAGCAGGCACAGCCCTGCCTGGGAAAAGTGATGATGAACCCCAAAGATGCTGTCAGAGAGAGTTTATAGTGTCATCGTGGCAACTGTTTGCTGTGGTCCAGTTAATAGAGGCAGGAGGCAGAGAAATCCTAGCCAAACAGGGTTGGGTCCCCAGTGAAACCCCACCTTCAAGCCAAAACCAGCCTGAAACCCACAGCCCAGAGTGAGAACTTCTATTCCTGTTTTTTTCCCACTCTCTCCCAAGTGGGTCTTTCTGAATAATGCCTTTCAACCAATCAAATGTTGCCTTTTCCAATACTACCTATGGCCTGCCGTGCCCCTATCCTGTGCCTATAAAAACATCAGCCTCAGTCAGTAGAGACAGAGATAACCTGAATTTGGGGAAGAGATGACCTGACTTCAGGGAAGAGACAACCTGACTTCAGGAAAGACGACCTGAACTTTCTGTCCCTTTTTCAGCTCCCCTCTTTGCTGAGAGCTGTTTTCTTTGCTCAATAAAATTCTCTGCTTTCATCACTCTTCAATCAATCATCAGTGTGACCTCATTCTTCTCAGACGCTGGACAAGAGCTTGGGACTCACCGAGCATGGGTACCCAGAAAGGCTGTGTCATTGGCCCTTTGCCTTCACCAGTGGAGGGCAGCTGCCCCATGTGACAAAGCCAGGACACTCTGCTGTTCATTGGGCTGCAGATGGCAGAGCTAAAAACACTAATTAGCACCCTAACACCCCCTCTGGGGCTTCAGGGTCCCAGGCACCCTCACCAGGGCACTGCCCCATTCCCCTTGGGGTGACATGCCTGGACTGGCCATGAGCCCTGCATGGAGATTGCTCCTGTATCAGCACCTGGAGTGGCCGACCAAACCCTGCACTCACTCTCTCATGTGCTCCCACTCAGCTGACCACAGCGGGCCAAGTAGATGGGGCACCACTGCTGTGAGTCCAGCGAAAAGGCTGAGAAAAGTCCTGTGTCACAGTCTCCCCTTCTTTGTTCTCCTACCTCTCCCACTCTCCATCTCCCCATTCCAATTCTAAAATACTCTTTATGATTTGTGTCCAGCATCTGCCTCAACGCATAGCCCAGAAAACTTCTAGGACCATATAATGAAATGGACACATCTGTTCCATTCTTCGGGGGCAAACCCTGGTTTTGACCCTACTCAGGTATACCACAGGCCAGAGGCAAGATAACAAACCCAATACCTACCATCTACAGTCTTAGTGGTAAACAGTATTGGAAAAAATAAGACGACCTAATAAGCATGTTTAAAAAGCAGTCTCTTTACCTTACAATTAGACTTCTTATAACTTTTCCACCGGGCTGGGAATCTGTGTCTCTAGAGAATACTAAGGATGTCCACTAAGATAGAGGTTCACACTCTCCTGAGTTGGGAATCCCAGCAGGAGAAGACAGGCACACTTGGGAGACTAAGAAAAGTGCAAAGGTTTCTAATGGGAATTCTAGGTAGTCGTGTCAAATTATCTCCCTACAGTGGGCAGTAGCAAGTCAAAAGCAAAAACACTAAGGAACAAGAAGGGCACAGATAAAGCTACACTATCTTCTGTAGCTAGGATGCTGCTTTAGGTCAAGGAACTGGAAGCACCTTGAGACCACAGCTTGCTTTGCCCCTGAGAATAATTGTCTCCCCTAAGACGGGCCCCAGAAGCCAGTCCTTTCCCATGCTAACAAACAAAGCATTTTTTGAGTGACAGATAAATACCCTTTCACCATATGAATAGTCAGACTAAGAAAAAAACAGGTGCACTCAAAGGCCCAGAGAAGACGGGCAAGAGAACACAGCAAGATGACCAGGTTTCAAAGGCCCAGTGTGGTGGGGGAGGGGAATCATAGCAGCAGAAGCCTAGAGGCCTGAGAAAGGGCCCTGCATTCTAGCAAAGGCTGCCTCCCGCCTTTGCGGGCTGCAGAGGCGGGATGGTGTCAAAAGTTGCCCAATTTGCATAGCAAATACTGCTGTCCTCACTGTATTTGCTTGGTTTAACTGCTTAGTAGATTTGGCTACAATTCCATCACATGGTATATCTTGGTGTCCCTTTGGTGAAAAGTCTTCACTGAAGAATCCAGAAGAGTTACCATAAATATGAGTGACCAGGGGAGAGTGGATTATACTTGATTTCCTATTTACTTCTTTCTCCAAGGTCAACAGAAAAGAAAACAGAGTTTGAGAAAACTCTTTGTTTGCAAAGCTAAGAAAGACATACACACATACACACACACACACACAAACACACACACACACACACACGAAAGGCACAGTTTGCTGCTAAACATAGCAGTTAATTGAAAAAAAATCATGTCACATTTAAGGCAGAAAGCCTGTGCTTTTTTCTTCAAAATAAGAGTTTTCAAAAAAGGTTCCCTCATTTCTATGCTATCAGAGTTCAGTGTCTAGTTTAAAGGGCTTCTTGTCTTCAAAGTAAACAGGCCAGTCCCCAGTTCATATGTGATAAAAGAAACATGGGAAGGAACAAAAGAGCTTGACATGGCATAACAGTGAACTTTTTCTTACCAAAATGCCATCACAGCAATCAGAGTTATAACCAAGGTCTGGAAAACCCAATTAGGACACGCCTGTCTTTTTCCTGAAAAATAAACCTATAAAAAGGTTCAGTAATGAGCAGTGATAAATTAGCAACTCTAACTGTGAGAAGGGAGCCTGGAGAACTGCTCCCAGCAGGGGTATTTGCTGCTCTCTTGGGATAGTTTGAGTGCTTGCCTCAATTTACATCTCTTTCCTCCTCCCTGCCTCTCTGAAAACAACATTCTTTCAAAGTCTATCTCAAGTACCTCCCTTTCCTTGAAATTCCAAGCTACAGCAATCTCCCTTTTCCCAGACATCCTGCAGACAATGATCTTTGCCATTCATTGGGCACTTACTTATCTTTGCAGTTTTATGAGAAACGGGGACCTGAGATGAGATGTTGTCAGACCACAGATGATGTGCATCTCTTTGAGTAGGATACTTTTGAAAATCAAAAGATCTTCAAGACATGAAGAGATGAATTCCAATGGAATGATTTCGGGTATCATGACAAATTATGAAAAAGGTTTTTATAGAATGAAATCCCACTAAACACTTTTTAAAATTATAACACCAGTATTCAATTTGTCACCTGTATATACAGATATCTCTGGGCCTGTGTCTTATTTGTTCTCATATTCATTCAACAATATTTATTGAGCAGTATTATGTACAACACTATAGGAGACATGAAAATCAGTAAATTATAGTCTCCAGGACGTGAATGAGACAAAACTTTAGGACTGATACATATTGGTATAAAAACTTGCATATGGGGAACAGGCCAAGAGCTGCAGAATAACAGCTGTGGAACTGCTGGGGAATCTGGCTGAAGAGATAGAAGTTTTCTGCCCACTTAAATGAGGTGCTACTTAAATATGAGTTTCCTATAAATGCAATAAGGAGTATTATATCTGCTTGCTTCCGGGGAATTTGGGATAGAGTCATGCTTTTGGTTATTAGGGTATTAGAATAAGGTAGTAATAGTTTTAAATTGGTTCTTGGTTTAATTTATTGGGTAGAATAAGGTGGTAATAATTTTAAATTGGTTCTTGGCTTAATTTATTGGGCTAGTTATCTGACTAAAGTAAATGTTCTTCAATGTAACATAGGGTAGGGGCATAGGATTCACTATACCATTTTTACCAAGTACACAGACCCTTAGGGCTATTGTAACTGAGTCATCTGTAAGTACAGCTGGAAGCTGCTCTGATGACCAAGAAGTCAATGGTTTATACTGTTCTGAGGTCTCACAGAAACTGTTCGGAGGACGTCTTAATAGTGTACTGCACAGAGAAGAAACTCAATGAAATTTGTTGAATTGACTGGAATTAAATAGGATTAGTCTCAGGGTAAGTGCTTTCCCCTTCAACCTACCCCCACAGCTGCTGAATTATTTTAAGTCTCCATGCTTTTCCTCAAAATCCTTTGACCTAATATAGAGAAATGGCCTAAGACCTGGAGTCAGACTTAGAGTTGAGTCTTCAAGTTATCTAAATGTTATTGATCCTCATTTTCTTTATCAGTAAAATAGGAATAATAAAATAATGCCTGCCTACTTTTTGGAGTTATTAGGCATATCCAATGAACAGTGTAATGGCTCTCAAATTAAGGTGTGCATAGAATTACTATGGTGCTTGAGAAAACCCTAAATGCCCTACATGTAAAATTCTGATTCAATAGGTTTTATTTGGGGGAGGGTAGGGACTGGGAACCTGTAAGAGGTAGGACAATAAAAAGTATTTATCCGTGTTCTTTTTTTTTTTTTTTTTTCTTAGATAGGGTCTTGCTTTGTCACCAATGCTGGAGTGCAATGGCATAATTTTGCCTCACTGCAGCCTCTACCACCTGGGCTCAAGCGATCCTCCCACCTCAGCCTCCCTAGTAACTACAACTATAGCCACCAAACCCAGTTAATTTTTTAATTTTTTGTAGCTATGGGGTCTCACTGTGTTGTCCAGGCCAGTCTTGAACTCCTGGGCTCAAGTGATCCACCCACTCTGGCCTCCCAAAGTATTAAGATTACAAGCATGAGCCACCATGCCCAGCCGTCTTCATTCTTTCCCTTTCCCTCTCCTCCTCCAAATAGTCAGTGAATTCTTATTTGAACCCTGGGGAGCTTCCTATCTCATCCTGAGTCCTACGTATAGCAAGAATGACCCACCTACCTCTTGGAGGTGGAGAAAGAGAGGGAAAAAAGAGGAACCCTACTGACTGAATGAGAGCTACATCAGGAGACTTCAATCTTCCTCCAGAATGAACACCATCTTGGCCAGCATTGGGAGCTGTGTGGAAGTAAAGGCAGGGCCCAGCCAGGCTTCTTACCAGCTGGTAAGACCCACTAACTGCTCACAGCATCAATTTGCTCATTAACAAGACCCCCACCCTACCCCAGAATACCACTCCCCACTCACACACAAGCATTTCCATGACCCACAGAGTCCCCAAGGAACAGAGGACAACTAGGAGATGAGTCGTGGCATGGAAGGAAAAGTCAACCTCACAGGAAGAGCTCAGATCTGTTAGCAGGTCAGCACAGAGGGAGCAAGCACTTTGGTTATTTGTGTTTTATTGAGCTCCCTGGACAAGTCTGAAATGAGATTCACTAAAATATTGAGTTTGAACACATTAATAACAACCTATTATGCAGCACTTTCTATGTGCCATGCACCCTTCTAAGTGCTTTACATCTATCAATTTATTTAATCCTCACAATAATCCTCTACAACCCTATGAAGCAAGTACCTTTATCAATCCCATTTTAAAAATAGGGAAAATGAGACACGGGGAAGGCTAAGTTTCACTCGAGATCACACAGCTAATGAATCACACAGCCAGGAATTTGAACCCCACAAAAATTGGCTCCAGAATCTATGCTCTTAACCACAGTGCTATGCTGCCTCCTTTTTACTATCTGTTTTTAAAGAAGGGAAACTATACAACTTAGATATTGTTATTATTCAAAATGCCTTCACGGCTTCTTTATTTTCAGCTTCATCTTCCACTATCTTCCCTAAACAAACAACTCCCACCTAATCCTTCAAGGAAGCCAGTTCTAGCCACCAGACTTTCATTTATGCCATTCCATCTGTAACTTCTCCTTCAATTTCATTGATGTCTAGCCAAAGCTTACTCCTCCTTTAAGGCTCAACTCTCATAAACCTCCTGGCACTCTGAGCCTCTGCAGCATTGCTGACATCCAGGTACAACTGTTCTTTGTATTTTTTTCCAATCTTCCCTGGCTACAATGCAATTCCTTAGAAGAGACCTGACTCATCCTTTCTGCCTCCCACATGCCCTCTACAGTGACAGCAAGAGGTCTCTGAGTTGAACGGGTGCTCTTTAAGCCCTATATGAGTCCCTGACCCTGGGACCGCACCACAGCTTACACCCCACCCACATACCCAAGACACTGAGCCACTTAATGTTTTTTAATTTAAGTTGTCATACTTCTGGGAATATTTTCATACTGGGCTCTCCACTCATGTATTCATTTGATAAACGTTTCTTGAGTGCCTACTATGTGCTAGTCCCTAGTGACATGAGAGTGAGGAAGGCAGACACAGGGCCTGCTCTCATGAGCCATATATTCTAGTTAATATTCTGAGATAACTGCAAAATAAAGAGAATCTCTTATTTTGCAAGATGGGAGCTACAGAGATTGCAGGTGACCAAACTGCACCTATCAGGGCTGCCATAGATGTGGATACCATTCCCTCTGTCCCACTGAAAACTGTTTAGTCCAAAGGGTACCTTTCCTACATTCATGTTTTGTGTTTATTGACTAACCTACTATGTGCTGAGTGCTGTGCAAAGAGCTTTAGCTCCCCTAATCCTAATTTAAATCCCATCAACAATCTTTGTAAATACTATAATTGTCCCTATTTCCCAGTGTGGTTGAGTAACTTGCCCCAGAGCACTTCTACGTATATTTTTACCTGGGTATTTGTGTTTGTCAATACACTAAGGAGCTTGTCAGCTGCATAATACTTTACTTGTTTTTAGTAGAAGAATTTTGAACTCTTTCTGAATCCTTTTAGAATAATTCAACACAGTATAGCATGAGGAGTAGAGAGTAAACTGAGGCAGTGGCACAAGCATCAAGTCAACTTTTAATAGGGTGTCATTTAAGGTCATGGATATCTTCCCCAGGGAAGGGCCACCTTTGGGCCACTGCTGGATCAGAGGGAGCAAGCTGAGTTTTGTAGCTACTTACAAAGTGCTGCTAGAAAGGGTGTATTGCAGCTTCTTCCTTACTGATATTTCTCGTGATGGAGAGGGTGTCCTTCAAGTTAATAAATTATTAACCTTCGCTTTAACTATAAATACTATCCTACTTAATAAATGCTTTCTTTATTCACTAATAAAACCATCACATTTTAACCTTTGCCAGCAAGTGAATACCTATTCTTCCATTTGCATATTTAGTACCAAATATCAAAGGGAAAAGAGGGATTTGAGGATTAACTAAAGTCCCTTTGGGATCTCCTAAAGCCAAAGATAAGGGGGTGGCGGTCAAGGCATGTACATAGATCTGGCAGCACAAGGCCATCTGTATGACGAGGCTGCTGACTTTCACCTGAAGGGGACAACATAAACAAAAACTTGCAGATAATAATTCTGAGACTGACATATTCTGTACTCGTTTCTCTAAACTTTGCTTTTAAAAGCCATTTAATATGTACTAGAGGGCTAATATTTAAACACATATAGTACATAAGGATGCAAACTAGGGATTTTCTGAACAAAGAAATGAGAAAAAAATTCTTGACTGATTTCTCTAAAGACTTTTTAAGTAGAAAACATCATTTCCTTTCATTGTAAATGTGTCTATTTACCTTGTTGTTTTTTTTATGAACGGCCCTTCTTGGAGAAGATGCACTAACGGCTCTGCTAGATTTGCTTTAAAAGAGAGAGAAAATTGGTTACTATTCAAATACCTCTCCAGGAGATACATGACAAAGGCCCAGGCTGTCACTAACATAGCAATATGACTTTCTTTTGCAATACAGTGATATTTTGAAAACAAAAAGTCATGGCAATGGAGAGTTCCTTTTGTGAAAAGGAACTTTAGTAAGTATAACTGAATGAATTAAACATTGTATTTCTCTTTTTCTCAAAACTAAACCCCAGGAAATGTGCATTAACCTTCTTAAGCAATTAAAAAAAAAATAACAGAAAGTTTTCCCCCTGAGGACCAAACATGGTTTTCTAAATTTAGAAATGACCACTTCTCCTCATTAAAGGAGAAGCCACCCTTATGCTAAAATTTAGCACTTCCTATAACAACTGCTACTAAACAGATGTCTCATGGTTTTTTTCCACTTTTAAAACAGCAACAGGGCCGGGCGTGGTGGCTCACGCCTATAATCCCAGCACTTTGGGAGGCCGAGGTGGGTGGAACACCTGAGGTCAGGAGTTCAAGACCAGCCTGGCCAACATGGTCAAACCCTGTCTCTACTAAAAATACAAAAATTAGCCGGGCATGGTGGCGGGCACCTGTAATCCCAGCTACTCGGGAGGTTGAGGCAGGAGAATCCCTTGAATCTGGGAGAAGGAGGCTGCAGTGAGCCAAGATTGTGCCATTGTACTCCAGCCTGGACAACAACAGCAAAACTCAGGCTCAAAAAAAAAAAAAAAAAAAAAAAAAAAACCAGCAACAGAAAAAAACTAAGAAAGTTATCACATCAGACAATTGTGCTCCAAAATATTCTAAAAGAAAAATGCAGACTTCATTATCAGAAAGTAGCGGTTGCTGTTTGATCAAAAAGACCATTTAGATTGATCTTATTCTGGAAAGAGCTCACTCTCTCCTTTCCCCAAATTTCTATGGCAATCCTGGCTGCACGTACCTGATTGTGCTTGCTTCACTGGCTGATGACTTCCAACTACTGAGCCGCTTTAGCCGGGCCAGCTTTCTGTTCCATATTTCTAACTCTTCTATTCTTTCCTCAAGGTTGTTAGTTAGTTTGCACAGTTGCTTCACTGCACCTACATTTTCCATAAAGATCTGGTCCTAAAAGGGAAAAATCAAACAGAGTGCATAAATTAACAATTTGAGATCACTACAAAGCTGTCTACAGCCCATTCAAAGACAGCTGGATTATACTGTTGAAAATGGTTACAGACACACACATCTTCAAGTTCATTCAAGATAAATCTGGAGAGGTTTGAAACTGAACACAGTCTTGCTAAACTGCTGGCTGTGTAGTAAACTGCTTCTGTTCAATTTCCAATAAAGTGAAAATATGACCTTGTAACTCAAAAATGGAGCTGAAGGACATTGGCAAATCTGGAATTGAAAGATTTATTTTCAATGGCCATTATTCCATATTTAAAATTCTGAGGCAGGAGAATCACTTGAACCCCAGGAGGCGGAGGTTGCAGTGAGCTGAGATTGTGCCATTGCACTCCAACCTGGGAAACAAGAGTAAAACTCCATCTCAAAAAAAAAAAAAAAAAAAAAAAAGAAGAAGAAGAAAGAAAGTCAGAACAGTCTTCTGAATGATGTTGAATTGTCTGTTCATAACCAAAATTCATAGAAAATGACTCTAGTTCTCCCTAATAAAATACGCATCAAATTTCTCATGTGAGGGAAGAAGGAACAAAGACCTGGGCTTTTCTCTGAGTTCTGTCACCTGCTAGAAGTGAGACTCCAGACAAAATGCAATAACCTCTCTGTGCTTCCATTTCTTCATCTATAAATGAGAAGATAATTATTGAGGTGTCAATATCTGCTTCAAAATCCAATGAACTATTGTATACTGCTTATATTGTAGCCTAACTAAAAAAAAGCAATTTTTTTAAAGCACATATTTCTTCCTGTTCACAGAATGTCACTGACACATCAGAAAAAGAAAGGGGAGACCAACCAAACCCAGAGAGTCCAGGCCATCCTCTTCCCCACCCACACACTTCAGTTGTCATATGAACACATATGCCCATTTCTCAGCCATAACAAAAAGCCTGGAAAGCTCTTATCAACTCACATTCCAACCCCATGACCTCTCCTCCTATCTTTCTCTCTGTTTGCAAGTTCAAAATCCCACAGCACTTTCTGAATTGCAGAGAGGCTGGTCCAAGGCTGAGTTCAAGGGCAATAGAGACTGTTTTGTGGTTGAGGGTCAAACTCAGGGCTATGTGCCTTTGAGATTCTTATCATCCAAACTGAAGCTTTGAGGGTTTCGAACACTGTAGAGCAATCACTCAGAAAGAATCAAAAGCTGAACATTCCAGATTCAAGGCTTAGTGTACGCAGTTCAAAGACAGATGTATCTCATGATACACTGGAGAACTCTCTGAAACTCCCAGAGCAGCCACACAGATCTGTTGAGGCCCCCTGAACACCCTGCACTCTCCAGTGTCTGAGACCTCATTCCCATAATTACCTAAGATAAAAATGCCTTTCCTCAAGGCCAGTCCAAATCCCATCATACCCAGTATCTCCCCAGAGACCACTAGTCAGAGAGCATCCCTCACTCTACAGTGTCCTCAAAGCATGTTCAATTCTATCACCTGGCCATTTGCCTTGTATCAGGTGTTATATGTCTGTCTCCCACCTGGATCATGAGTTTGTGGCAGGCAGAATTATGTTGATTTATTTGCATATCTCACCAGCATTTAGCACATGCCTTTGCCCACTGGAAATGCTCAGTAAGAATGGACACAAGTGAATTGAAAAGTGCTATGAGTTAGCAGCTTAGAGAAGCAGAAAACCTTTGTATTTGGGATGTAAAATGACCAAAAGCTTGATTTCTGAGGCCTATGTTTGCTTCAAGAAAACTTACCAAAAAAACACAAAAAATCCAACAACAAAAAAAATCATACTTGTATCAGCTTTTCAAATGTCATCAGAAAACCCTATATTTTTCCTGAAGTCTTACCATACATCCTTCAAAATCCATCCAAATAACAAATTGATAAAACCATCTGGAGTAGAATTTAGCAATATCTAGCAAAATTACATATATTTTTATTTTTGAGCCAGTACACCCACTTCTAGGAGTCTATTCCACAGATCTCCTGGAGAAAATTAAGAAATAAAAGAGACCACAATCAAACAAAATGTCCATTAATAGGGGAATTGATAATAAACTGTGGTACATTTGCATAGCAGTATACTATGCAACTGTAAAAAGAAAGGAAGAATATCTCTATATACTGTTATGGAGCAAAGTCTGTAGTATAAGAAGAATACAAAACATGTCTACATTTTCTTACATTAATAAAATGAAGAATAAACAAAAACTAACTTAAAATTGTTACACATAATGGAAAGGAAGAAACAAGATGGGTGAAATGGATAGAACCCAGATTCTCTGAATGTATCCTGTTTTTATAAATTAACCTTTAGAATATGTGGGTATTTTACGATTTTTTTTTTTTTTTTTTTTTTTCTGAGACGGAGTCCTGCTGTGTCACCCAGGCTGGAGTGCAGTGGCATGATCTCGGCTCACTGCAAGCTCTGCCTCCCGGGTTCACACCATTCTCTTGCCTCAGCCTCCTGAGTAGCTGGGACTACAGGTGCCCACCACCACGCCCGGCTAATTTTTTGTATTTTTAGTAGAGACGGGGTTTCACTGTGTTAGCCAGGATGGTCTTGATCTCCTGACCTCGTGATCCACCCTCCTTGGTATCCCAGAGTGCTGGGATTACAGGCATGAGCCACTGCGCCTGGCCCATATGTAGGTATTTTAAATATGTATAAAAAATAAACAAAATTTTTAAAAACATCCCCTAGAAACAGAAGGCAAAATAAAACAAATAAGCCTAATTGGGTATTGAGTTTCTGGTTTAACCTTACAGTGAAGATTGACATTAAGTGACTTCAAAACATAGTAATTTGACTGCCCATTCCCAGAGAGATAGAGCCTAAAGACAAAAAATAAAAATTTAAAAAAAAAATCAACCAGCAAGGGAATCTTAAGCTTTTCAATAATCATACTGTTAGTAATAATAGTGATGGATTATACACACATAGATAGCACACATATATATTTGGATAAAACAAATACATAGTTAATAGTGCTATAAACCAAGATTTTTAGCATTTAAGAAAAGAGATATAAACATAAAATTAAAACATTTAGTAAAACCCTAGCAAATCTAAATTTAAGTTAGAAATATTACTATTAATTTCTGATATATTTTATTTCTTAAAAGAAAAAGACATTTTCTAGCTACATTAACTAAAAAGGACTGGAAAAAAACTTCCCACCTACTAACCATGAAGACTCCTCATTGTAGTCTCTAAATACCATTCCCAGTGAAAGGACCCAGATTTTGAGTACTTTTCCAGATTTGGGGTAAGATATGTCTGAGGTGAACCTGGAACATCTTTCAATATGAGAAAATAAGGAAGCTATCACAGAGTACTGTGGTTGGGTCAAAATGACTCAGGAGCTAACTGAAGAAGCTCTCATTGGCCAAAGATAGAACATTAAAGGGCTAATTACCATGATAGAACAAAGAATCAAATGTGCTTTAAAAGCATCCAAAATCCTATTCAATTTTTAAAAATAGTTTATTATTTACCTTTGGGAGACATTAAGGGCTTAACTCATTTTTTTTAAATCTTGTAAATAAAAGAATAAAACTTTGTCCTGCCTGTCCTATATAACATCTACATATTTGAAAGTTCATTTAAAAAGTATTCCAGATAATAAATTCCAGAGAATAAATGAAGAAGAAATGATAGAGTATCACTGTTTTCCAACACCTAATGAAACAATAGATCTAGGCAATAATCCTCAATGTCTACTAAAACTATTGCATGTATTTGTTTCTTTGTTTTATACATACACATGTAAAAACAATTGGGGAAATTTCAACACCAACTGGATTTGATAATATTAAGAAATTACTGTACATTTTTAGGTGTGATAATGTTATAGTGGTTCTGGTTTTAAGAGGTCATTTTTCTTTCAGAAAAAAGTATTGACAATATATAATAAAACAGTATGATGTTGGAGGTTGCTTTAAATAATCTAGTTGGTGGAAGAGGGTCGCTGGTGAGTGATTTAAATAAAATAAGATTGGACAAGAATTGAAATGAATAACTGGGGAATTTGAGTGAGGCATACATGGGGTTTCATTACTATTCTCTCTAGTTTTTTATACATTTGAAATTTTTCATTAAAAGTGTTTTTTTAAATCACAAAACAAAAACAAAAATCTCCTAACAAAAGCCCTTCTAAATTTTCTAATCCTGGTACAGGTTTTCCTTTACTTCTAAATTTGTTGTAATAAAAATAAGGCAGAAATTATGAAGATAGAAACAGCATTTTATGATTCTAAATCATGATAAATGTTAAATCATTATTTACTATGTTTACCCTGTAGAGAGCCTTATACTATAATTACAGCTGTATTATTTACAGTGGGTCACATGGTCAGCTGATGTCCACCAGCAGCCCAAAACAGATTTCCAGCCGTCCTCTCTAACCCCTCCCTGCACCCTGCTCACTGGCAGGCAATCTACCACGCAGGACTGTCAGTTCGGCATCCTAAATCTCCCAAAGCCACCCACTTCTCTCCATCCTCACTGACACTACTGATACTCTTTTTTTTCCCTTGGTAACCATCTCCTTCTTTAAAAAAAAATTGCTTAATACATTAATTTATGATTTAGCTCAAGCCAAAGCAGACTATGGAGAATTATAATAAAGTCCCCTCTAAACCGCAGAAAGTTCTTTCTGCAGTGTTTTCCTCAACAGGACTTTCAATACTGCCTCATAGGATACAAGCAATGGCTGCAATTGCCTGGTTACTTGTCAATAATGATAAAAGGCCAGGTTTAATTTCTCCAACTGAAATTTGCCAGTACCATATATCTTACAGGTAGATCCAATAGGTAAGGAGATAATTCATATATTTTCCTATTCAAGAGGAAATAAAAGTGGAGAGGAAATTTACTACCACTTTCCTGATTATAATTATGGCTGGCTCTGACTTTATGGATCCATCCAATAGAAAATTACCAAAAAGTAAATTTCTAATACATATTATAGGGGTTGACTCTTACTGAAATATTTGGAGTTCTGACTTCTGTCCCCCATTGTTACAGTAAATCCAGTATAAATATGTTCAAAACTATAATCTAGAGTTTTTCTGAAAATGTTCTTTTCTATGCAAGTGATTAGGTCTGTATGAGCAGATTTGAACCAAGAACCCATATCACAGATGCCTGAGGAAATTTTTTCTAAATACACATGTCTGGACCCCATGTAGAATCTTGGATTCATGGGCCAGACACATTAGCTCACACTTGTAATCCCAGCACTTTGGGAGGCCAGGGTGGGAGGACTGCTTGAGGCTAGGAGTTCGAAGACCAGCCTGGGCAACATAGAGAGACCCCAGCTCTACAAAAAAAAATGTTTTAAAGAAGCTTGGATTCATTAGGGCTGAGGGGCATTTTGAAAAGTCTCCCCATTTGATGCCCATCCTTGATGACTAACCATTTTGTAATTGAACCCAATTAATTACTCTACTTTGTCCAGCTATTAACAGTTTTAAATGGGGTCCACTACCTCAGCTGAAACACCACTCTACAGTTGTGATGTAAAAATGATTAAACCAGCTTGCCACCAAAATTTTCTAATGAGATTGTGAAGCAAAAGGTGGCAACTGCTTCAAATAACCTAAGAAACTTTTACTCACTGTTTGAGACTTGCTATGGAGTTAGGGTACATATGGACAGAATGAGCATGTTTTCTAAATGGGCACTAGAGGCAGTCCGGCAAGTGTATTGCACATGGAAACAATGGGAAAGCATTCATGAAATCAGAACTGTTAGTGAGCTCAGAGTGGGTATCCCTTATCTAAAACTCATCTTTCACTACAGCCCTCTTCACGCTCCATGCTCTCACCATATTGAACCATTTGCCATTCACTGAACATGGCAGGATTCCTCTAGCCTCTGGATCTAGCACATGCTGCTTCCTCTACCTGAATCACCTGTCCTCCCCTGCTCCCACCTTCCTTAAACTTGGTGTCAGATTTACCTAGAGAGTGGGCTCACCTGGACAGAGCTTATATTTCATCCATAGTTGCCACTCCAGCACAGACTAATAACTCAGTACACATTTGATGATTACATGAATAAATATTCTTACAGGTGGTTCATGGCACGAGGCACTGAAAGGTCATAGTGTTGCTCTCTAGAGAAATGAAGAGAGTACCAGTGTCTAGTTTATTCTTTTATCTGAAGTACCTCTCAGAGAAGCAAAAAACAAAACAAAACAGAACAAAAACAGAAACAAAGAAAACACCTAAGGTCCAAATTCCTTTTTCATATTGGGAAATGTCCATGGAAATGTGAGTGAATTAGATAAACACTAGTGTTTATCATCTAGGGCAATGGGCTGGTGATTCGATGATATCTAACAAACCAGCTTCTACTCAGGTTAGGTCCTGTCCTCTTTGCGAGGAGATTGGCTCAGGAAACAGATGAAAGCCCTTGAGTTCCCTCTCACCTCACCCACTTCAGGAAATCCCTGGACTCGGCAGAACACAGCTTGGAAGCTCCTGGGTCCATTGCAGGTCTAAAGATAATGTACCCAAGATATTGGGGCACAGCCAGGCAGAGGAGCTGATTTCTCCTCTCTTTGGAAGCTACAATTCATCCTTTATTTAGTGACACTGAGCGAGGGTAACTTAGCCTGATGGCAAAGCAAGCTTCAAGAAGTTGAAATAGGCCTTTCTTTCTTTCCTCATAAGAGAGCATTGCAGACTTGAAAATCTCTCCTTATGGTAAATGATGCATCTGGTGTTGCATGGACTGAGGTTGTATAATAAAACCATGGGAATAAAACAGCTTGTAATCGAGCATTGTAAAAATGATTGCCAACGGGAGAAAAACTGTCTTTAGCCAATGGGTGTGTCTGGCAATTGTTTGGGCTTTGAATAAACTCAGCTTTAGATTTTTGTCCAGGAGTTTATTTTGTGGAGAGCGTACTGGGCCCTGACATGGATTTAAAAACACAGAATCCTTAAACCAGAAAAGCAGGCTGCTGGGATGGTGTGGAAGCTCAGACTTCCAGGTGGCTTTTCAACAGGTCTCTGGAGGACAGACTTCCCTAGCATGTATATTTCTCTTGCAAACAGGACAAATCTTGGACTCATTTCTCTTCTGGTTTACATGGAAAGAGCACAAGATTCATAAAAGTGTTTAAAATTGTGTGCAATATTGTTGCCCTTTGTTTGCCTTAGAATCCTCGTTTAATTTTTGTTACTTTCATTTAAGTGCAATTTTCTGTGGAAAGGGCTTGAGTCTTTTGACGGAGACAAGTTTCCAGTTGAACTAGCAAATGCCATAGTTTGTTGTAATTCTATGATTTCTTGTCTTACCAAGATGATTTACAAGCTCCTTTTGAAGGCAGTGACTTTCTCTTGTGACTCCTCAGGGCCAACTCAGTACCTGACACAGGCACCTCAATATTCAATTGATGAACACAATCAGTAGTTCTTTATTAAGCACCTATGATATGCTAGACACTCACCTGAGTGCAGGGATAAGACAATTAGATAAAGTAGACAGGATCTCTGCCCTCATAGAGAATATCTTCTAGTGGGAGAGATTGACCAATAGCAAGTAAACCACAAATAAATAATACAGTTCAAAGGTGTAATTAGCACTAGGAAGGAAGCTAACAAGGCATTGAAATAGAAAATAATTGTCAGTCTCTTAAGCTGTTACTATAGACTTGGTATATTCATTTTATTTTTGAAAGTACCAGGAAAGAATAAAATAATAGAGTCAAGTGAAAAGTTATATTCTTGTCCCGAAAAAGACAAGTTAACCCAATGAAACACTGAATCAAACCATTCACAGAAGGAAAAACCTAATAGCTAACATAAGAAAGAGATGCACAACTTTATTACTAATCAGAGAAAGTTAAATTAAAACAATATGATGCTCCTTTAACTCAATCAGAATTGCAAAATTTAGAAAGTCTGATAATGTCAGGTGTTGAGGATACAGAGAAACAGTAAGCCTCAAGCACTGCTGTTATGAATGAGAACTGAGCAACAATAGGCAGTATTTTATAAAATTAAGTCTGTGTGTATCCTGCACCCCACTCCTTGTATTGGTTCCAGAGAGAGCCACACATCTCATCTCTCTCCTCCCCATTTCCTTATTGATCCTATTCGTTCACTTGACACTGTGCTTGCCCCATGTTCTCTTCCTACTTTCATCCAATCTTCTCAGCCCTCACACATTCTTTTCTTCCTCTACAGGCCCTAATTGGGTGTGTTCCTTAAGGTGTTGCTTTCGGTTCTTTGGTTCTTTTTGTTTCTCATTCCATACAAACTTGAAAGTCCATAGGGCCAAGAAGGTAATAGATAGCAGTGATGCGAGGGCACATGAAGCCTCATTGGAGGGGCCACTTCCAAGCCCAAGTGCCCAGCCCTTCTGATATTTCAAAGGACCCATAAATCTGATACTTTTATGAAGATCTCCTAATTTTTAAATGTAGGGAACAAATCTGAAATGTTTTAAAACACTATGGGGAAAAAATGTCTGTAACCCAGACTTGGCCACAGGCTTGCAACCTGTGACCTATACCCATAACCTTTCCCTCCTTAATTAACATCTTCATCCATGGCTGCAGCTTCCTCTCTACCCTAGCTGCCCTCCCAAGTTCTACACTCACAGTCACCTTCTGGACTTTTTTTTTTTTTTCATCTAAATGTTCAGTTGACATCTCAAAGCCAATATTGACCTTATCTTTTCCTCAGAAAATCACTTCTCCTTCAGATTTCCTTAAGTCAATAAAACCACTTCTCTTCCTTTCATGGAGATTTAAAAACTCAGGCATTAATATACACAAATTTTTGTCAGCAGTATCCACAATGTATCAGATACTGTACTAATCAACACAGCACTGATGAGGCAGATTCTCTGACCTCAGGAGTCTCACAGTCTAGTGAAGGAGAAAGATAACGGAAAGAGAATGGCAATACAATGTGATAAATAGTCTAGAAGATGTATATGCAGAGGCCTAAGGCAGTACAGAAACAGGATCAACCAAGGCATCACAGAATTCATTAATTCATGTTACCAATATTTGTTGAATTCCTACAGTACTTAAAGTTCTGGGGTAAAAGCCACAATAAAGTGTTGGATAGTTTTAAAACGCATAAATTTCTGCTCTCATACAACTAATAGGAGAGATTGGCAAAAAAAAAAAAAAAAAAAAAAAGTCAGTGAATAAACAAGATGATTTCAGTTAGGGACAAATACCCTCCAGGCTGCCCTGAACAAGTTTACAGTTTGTTTACAGCACAGGCCCAACCGAGGGGGTGGATAGGGTCTGCAGCAGCCAGAGGAGGCCCCTTTTTAAAATTAGAGCAATGGCACTACACATTCTTACAGTGGCCCTGACTCTTAAAATGAAACCAAGTGATTCAGGGACTATTTTATATGGGGTGGTTAAGGAAGGCCTCGGCACTGCTCTAAGGCCCAAATGATGAGATCATCTGAAGAGTCTTTAGGGCTGAGAACCACTCAACAGAACAGCTCTGAGGCAGAAACATACTTGGCAGGTTTGAGGAACAGAGAGAGGGAGGGGCTGGGGAAGGGGAGCCGTGGAAGCTACTGGAGAGAGATGAAAGCTAGGCAGCACAGGGAAACGCCAGGCTTTTGAAGGAATATGTAGGAGTTTTCAGTGCAAAGTGTTGGGCAGTAGCAAAGGCTTCCAAGGTAAGGACACAAACACATCATATTCTGAAAGGGCCCAGCTTATTTGAGAAAATGAAATATTTTTCAAATATAAATGACCTTACTTATTTAGTCATTTAGTCTGGCTGCACTGAAGGCATCATGGGATTCAGGGGTTATGGGAGCATTAGGAAACGAGTTAGAAAGAGAAGACTCCATCCAGATTGTGGAGGGGTTATAACAGTCTGTAGCCAGTAAAGGGCCAGTGGGAAAGGGAGATTATATGATCAGAGATTCGTTTTGCTTTGTTTTTAAGGAAGATAATTTTATTGGTGGCTAGCAGGTCAGTTAGGAGATCATTATAATAGTGTGGGAGAAAAATGGAAAGAATAAAGAGAATAAAGAAGAGAACTGATATACAAAGATATTGCCAAAGGAAGAAAAATAGTACTGAGTGTTTAACTGCATATCATGGACAAGAAAAAGGAAGGTTTGAGAAGCCATCTGTCCTCCCTTGGCCACACTTTCAGTCCCCAAGGTCCATCATGTCTTCTTTTGCTTGCCTCTCAAGTCTTCCCCCTTCTTTTCCACCCGTGAACCTCTGCCCCGTCTCCAGCTTTCTTCTCTCCTTCCTCTGAGCTGATGTAGTGCTTTATTTATGCATCCCATAGTATTTCTCACATTATTACTTAGAGCTTTATTACTTGTGTACCTGTCTTATCATCCCCCTCTTAGACAATAAGCTACTTGGAGACAGGAACTAAGGGTTACTTATCATTGCATCATTCAAATAGACAATTCCTGGTACATTATGATTAAAAAAAATAGAATCAATGAGTAAAAAGTACCCACATACTAAGCCACAGTAGGGTGGTGTACAGCATGCAATCTTAAATTTAAAAAAACAACAAGAATTGTCCAAGGAATAATTATTCACAAGACACACCTCACCTTTAAACAGGTTCAGTTGTGAATTACTTTAAGGCAGTACTTATATTTACTGGGTATGTTTTTCTTACAGCAAGCACATCTAATAATAATGCTCAAAAAATGTGATCACCTGCCCTGAAAGAATCACAGAAACAAATAAAATTGCCAAATAAAGAGATAGATGAACAAGCAGAAAAGGCCAAGCTGCCACCGGTCTAATGCAGGGTTAGGCCAGGTGTCTACAGCCTACAGGTCCCCTTGCTTTCAGTGTCACTCCCAATCCCTCTCACTCCACCTCCTGCCACTGGGCCTTCACTAGGGCACAGGGACACTGTGGGGAATATATGAGAAGAGGCAAATTACCCCAGATAAGTAGTTTATTTTGTAAGGTCATCTGTCCTGAGAAGGGAGAAAGAAAAGCTGCTTGTACCAACTTTGACAACGATCACCCCCTTTGGTTGCTTGCATAGACAGTCTATAAAGATCCAGACATTCTTTTTTCCTATTTTGGCATCAGGTTGTGAGGTACCTGCAGAAGTGACATAGCAATCATGGAGGCAATATTTCAACATTTTCCTAAGTGTTTCTAATTTGCATTCGAACTTCAATGAAAATTTCTTTACAAAAAAGGATCAGGTGATGGGACAGAAATGGAGTGAAGAATGGAGAGGCTGTACCTTCATATGACCTCCTCCACTTATTACAGCACATGAAGCCCAGGACGTCCTGGCAAAGTTCCTTAAAACAAGCAGCCCTGGAGGTGGCAACCAAAGCCACACTGCCCACATGAATAGGTAAAAGTCCAGGAAAGCAAGAGGCTCGCTGTACATACTGCTTGTTTTACAATTAACAAAGAACATGGGACAAGAGGAGCCACTTTACCTGTATTCTTAAAAAGAAAGAAAAAGGAGATGCTCTGTGAGGCTTTTATAAGGTAGGCAGGGATAGCCCACCGTGTTGAGGGTTAAACTAGCAAACAAAGTCTATCCTCAGAAGTGAGGCACAGCACACTGCCGGGCTTCTCCTCCATCATCAGAGTGGGGAGATGTTCACTTGCTTGTGGTGTTACAGATTCTGTAAGTGAGTGTGGCCTTAGTGACATCTCCATAGATTGCATCACTCCAGGGTCCTGTTTTTAAGAGAATCACAACATTTCCCTCCTGGACTCCTGTGAGTTTTACCAATTTATAAACTGAGTGCTGCCTTGGCATGGTTTTCTCCTCAGGTGACACATGAATGAGGCTGGCTGCCTGGAACAGGAATGCTACCCCCTACCTCTCCAGACCTCTGAGTTTGCCTTCCTAGGAATGAGCTTAGGTTGTAGCCTCTCCTGGAAGAAGGAGGATGGACCTTGGAACTGATAGAAAGAGAAGATTCTGTCTCAACTATTCCCAATCAACTCAACTAGGGAATGGGAAAATACTGGAAACAAGGGAGAGAACTAATTATTTGGCTGCCACAGGAAGACATTACCTACACATTGCCACTCAGGAACACTTCGAGTGTTCTAGTGGAGGGCCACATCCAGAAGTTATATAGCTGCTTCCAGAGGGTAACCCCATAAGCCCCCACCTTGGCAGCTTGCTGACATACTCCCAAGGCTGTACCCTGGGACTAATAGCTGTGTTTATACTCCTTTCCTTTCATGACAGAAAGCTTATGAAAAAAAGCTTTAATTGTATTTTAATAATAAAATACTAAAGTTTTCTAATAATTTACTTCAAAAAAAGGACCTCTAAATAGGCCCTAGAAATAATAAAACAGGCCCTATTTTATTTTTTAAGTAATTTATTGGAAAACTTCAGTATTTTATTATTAAAAATAAATTTCTCAGCAAAGTAGCAGGATACAAAGTCAACACAAAAATTAGCTGCATTTCTATACAATAACAGTAAGCAATCTGAAAAGAAAACTAGGAAAAAAATCCCTCTTACAATCACATCGAAAAGAATAAGACTCTTGTGAATTAACTAAGCAACATGGTAAAAGATTTGTACAATAAAAACTATAAACCATTGCTGAAAGAAATTAAAGAAAGCATAAATAAACAGAAATACATCCCATGTTCAAGGATTAGAAGACTTAATATTGTTACAATGTCAACACTACCCAAAGTGATCTACAAATTCAATGAAATCCCTATCAAAATCCCAACGTTGTCTTTTGCAGAAATAGAAAGATCTATTCTAAAATTCACGTGGGATCTTAAGAGACCCTGAAAATAGACAAGGAAATCCCCCCAAACAAGAACAAAGCCGTATGACTCACACTTCCTGATTTCAAAACTTACTACAGAGTTAGAGTAATCAAAACAGTGTGGTACTGGCATAAAGACAGACATACAGACAAATGGAATATAATAAACAGCACAGAAATAAACTCTCACATATATGGTTAAATGATTTTAGACAAGGATGCCAAGACCATTCAATGGGAAAAGGACAGTCTTTTCAACAAATTGTGCCAGGAAAACTGGGTATCCATATACAAAAGGATGAAGCTGGACTCTTACCTAACACAAATATTAACTAAAAATGGATCAAAAACAGGAATGTAAAACCTAAAATTATAAAACTCTTCAAAGAAAACAAAGGGCACAATCTTTACAATATTGGATTTGGCAATGATTTCCTGGATAGAACACCATTGGCATAGGCAACAAAAGGGAAAATAGATAAACTGGATATCATTAAAATTTAAAACTTTTGTACATAAAGACACTATTAAGAAAGTGAAAAGACAACCCACAGAATGGGAGAAAATATTTGCAAATTATATATCTCATAAGGGATTAATATCCAGAATATATAGAGAATTCCTGAAACCTAACAACAGTAAACAACCCAAGTCAAAAATGGGCAAAGGACTTGAATTGACATTTTTCCAAAGAAGATATATACATGAACAATAAACACATGAAAAGATGTGCAACATCACTAATCATTAAGGAAATGTAAATCAAAACTAGAATGAGATATCACCTCACACCCATTTGGATGGCTTCTGTTTGAAAAAAGAAAAAAAAAATTACAAGCATCGGTGAGGACGTGGACAAACTGGAATCTTTGGGAACTGTTGGTGGGAATGTAAAATGATATCGTCACATGGGAAATAGTATGGTGGTTCCTCAAAAAATTAAAAATAGAATTGCCATGTGATCCAGCAGTTCCACTTCTGAGTAAATATTCCCCCTAAATTGAAAACAGAATATTGAAGAGACATTTGAATACTGACAATCATAGCAGTATTATTCACAATACCTAAAACATGGAAGCAACCCAAGAGTTCATCAACATAGGAATGGATATGCAAAATGTGAATAAAGGTGAAAATTATTCAGTCTTAAAAAGAAAGGAAATTTTGATACACACTGCAACATAGATGAACCTCGAGGACATTAAGCTAAGTGAAATAAGCCAGCCACAAAAAAAGAAAGAAATGCTCTATGATTCTGCTTATATGTAGTCAGAATCATAGAAACAGACAATAGAATTGTGGTTGCCAGGGGCTAGGGAAAGTGGATAATGGGGAGTTATTGTTTTACAGGTACAGAGTTTTTGTTTTACAATATGAAAAAGAGTTCTGGAGATGGATGGTGGTGATGGTTGTATAACATGATGAACGTATCAAACATCAATGACTTGTATGCTTAAAAATGGTTAAGATAATACATGTTATGTTTTGTGTATTTTACCACAATAAAAAACCTGGGAAATAAATATATAAATAAATGTTTCATGATATACCTCTCAAGTGAAATGATAGCCCAGGTCTGGGAGAGAGACTGAAGAATTGCTTCTATCGAAGATATGTTCTTGGGAAGCAGGAGGCAGTAAGTCAACTTCTGCCACTGTGCTCTTGCAGCCCTGGGCTGAGCAGGCCTCCCAGACCATGTCATCTAAGAGTTTGTGGTACAGTGGCTGGTAGGTGGAAGATGGTGGTGGTGCCTAACATGAAAAGGCATCCTCTGCTTTGCTGCTCCAAGTGTGGCTTCTGACCAGCAAGGTTGGTAAGATTGGCATTACCAGGAGGCTGGTTGGAATTGCAGGATCTCTGGCCTCACTCCATTCTTGCAGAATCAGAATCCACACTTTAATAAGATTCCCAGTGATGCATGTGCACTTTGAAGTTCAGGGAGCATTACCTCCATTAACTGACAAATTATAAATTAGTCTCCACTCAAGCATCTCTCCCCATGACTACAAAACCCTTATATCAATTGGTCTTTCCTCTCAGCATCAAATATAATAATGCAGTATAAAACAAATCAGCATCAGAGTGCATTTGCAAACCTTGCAAAAATGCAGGATTTCATAGAATCAATAGATATGGTATTAGGGAACTCCTCAAATCATACACACAGCATCGACAAGCAAGGAACTGGCAGATTTAGACCCATTACCAAATGAAGACGAGCTAATCTACAGGCATGATGGCATTCCTTCAAAAGAGAATGATTTGAATATCAAAGAATTAAGAGAGGCCCTTGGGAAAAAAATGATCAGGCCCATGAATATCTTCATAAAAATGACTCACTTTATGATTATACTGTAAAAGTCAAACACCGTTTCATCAAAAAAACTATGCTCAAAAAATTCAACACTTCACTTAATCTTTAATCATTCTAAGAAGAAACACATTGTGTAATTATAATTTAAGTTGCATTACCTAAAATATAATGCATTTTTCATAAGTTTATTACCATTTTAAAAGATGAAGTCTAATTAAAACTTTTTTGTCAGTATTTATCATGATGTTTGGCCCTTGTTTAAAGTGCATTCATGCTAAGTGGACTTTCCTAGTGCCAGTTAAGATCTGCTGAACTCGAATTCTTACTATTGCATATGCATTTTCCTTTTTATCATATGGAACTTCTTTTTGGTGCTTATGATCAATTTGAATATCAATTATAAGAGAGTTGATACCTACTCACTCCACAACTCAGTGAAGAATTATTTTAATGTCCCACTTCCTGGTTGGATGTTTCAGCCCATTGTGCTATCACAGAAGGGGGTTTATCCCTAGACTGATAGCTTATAGCAGCTGATATCTTTTCAGTGATTACCTTATCCACCATGAGGAAGTTCTCCAAGGTCTCTCCGTTTCCGCAGGTGACATCACCAACCTCTCTTACTGCTCTGGGCAGGATTTCTTGCACCTCCTGGGCAATCATTCCTGTATACAAAACACTCCACAGGTTTAATCTTCAAAGAAAGATCTTTCTGGAGAAAATCCTCTCTAAGCTTTTGCTTTGATCTACAATACATTTGCAGCAAAGAAGGAATTTTGAGCCAAGAACCACTATAGGATTAAAAGTGGGAGTGTTTTCTGTTTTTTCTTTTCCTTTTTTTTTTTTTTTTTTGAGACTCTGGGCCA
Source organism: Homo sapiens (assembly GCF_000001405.40). Taxonomy (NCBI): domain Eukaryota; kingdom Metazoa; phylum Chordata; class Mammalia; order Primates; family Hominidae; genus Homo; species Homo sapiens. The sequence goes on along the minus strand of NC_000012.12, from coordinate 69,910,619 downwards.
ACAGGGGGGAGGTAAGTGCCTTAAAATCCCTGTCCATAGAAGTAAAGATGGGGCGTTGGCTTGATTTCCTTTCTTTTCCTATAGGAAGCCTTTGCCCCTAAAATATTCCTTTATTCCTTCCTTCTTTAGGCTTCCTGGATTGGAGTATAAACATCACTTTGCTTACCCCTTCTCTTATCTAGATCCACTTACCCTGCCACCTTCTCCCTCCACCTCCCGACTGCCCAATGCCGTTCCTCACATAGGTTGAGCCATCATCTGTCCCTGAACCCTCAGCCCATGAGCAAAAGGACTCCTGTGCAAAGAAACTATATATTCAACCTACACCACCAGTACCTTGGGGTGGAGGAGTGGGGGTGTTGAGTAAAAATGACACAGAAATTTTTTAACCTTTCCTGTTCTAGTGACTATGAGTTTCACAGAGAACAAGTTAGATCAACATAGCGTTGTCAAATGCCATAGCACATAACCTCAAAATAAAGAGGTAATTAAAATTTTAATAGTTGGCAATACAAAATTAAAAGGGGAATTTGTGTGTGTACCTGTTTGATGGGCAGTGTTTATTCCCATTGCAGATGCAAATTCAGGTTTGTAGTCATATTCAACAATTCTCATTTGGGCTATTCTTTTCAGCTGTTCATTCGTGTCAACCTAATTTAATTAAAGAAGAGCAGATTTTACTCGCATAGATATTTGCTATTCAAATTAATGCCCAGAGTGACCCAGAGACATCACTGAATTGCTTTTGGACATTTTGCTGGAGATAATTTCTTCAAGTGGATTCCAAGCCAGGATTACCCAACTGCTGGCCCTTCAGGACCCAGCCACCCTCCTTCCCCTGGACATGCCTCCCCCACATCACCCCGGCCAGCAGGGCATCCTCTACGTGCAATCACTGCTCTCACATCATTAAAGGCTGTCCCAACTGTCACTACGGGGTCCCAGCAAAATGATAACAATCAAGAGAGTACAGTGAACTTTCCCTAAAGCTAAATGGGTTTGATCCAAAGGATTCCTCTTTAAATTGAGAGATTTTGTAAATGATAGTAATAGCAGAATTTTTTTTTTAATATCTTTATCTGACAAAAAAGTTGGTAGCCCTTTGTGGGTACCCTAAATTTTCTTTTGGAACATAATAGAATTACAAATAAATACAAATATTTATTGAGTAGCTATTGAGGCAATTAAAAGTAAACTGCCTGGGCATTCATCCATGTGATAGAGGAACCAAAAACATATTTTGTTATTGTTGTTTTAAGAAAACCACTGTCATGGCCCTCAGCTCCTCCCTTGACAGACTCCCTGAGGTGGCAGTAGAGCCCCTCCACCATCGTTTAGGATTCTCAGCCCTTCACTAGTTGGACTGGTTGTGAAAGATGGTAGCTTGGTGCTTAATTGGCTAAACGGATTAGCTTTATTTCAGGAAGTTATTCCAGAGTATAATTCTGAGCTTACTGCCATCATTCATTCTTTGTTTTATTTGACTAACATTTACCAATCACCTTTAACATATCATGCACTACTAAGTGTTGGGACTTAAAACATAATTGCCTTGAGCTGGAGCCCATTATCCTTAGCAAACCAACACAGGAACAGAACACCAAATACTGCATGTTCTCACTTATAACTGAGGGCTAAATGATGAGAACACCTGGACACATAGAAGGGAGCAACATACACTGGGGCCTTTTGAAGGTGGAGGGTGGAGGGTGGGAGGAGGGAGAGGATCAGGAAAAACAGCTGATGGGTACTAGGCTTAATACCTGGGTGATGAAACAATCTGTACAACAGACCCCCATGACACAAGTTTACCTATGTAACAAACCTGCACTTGTACCCCTGAACTTAAAATAAAAGTTTTAAAAAATTGCCTTTTAAAAGTTTGTGGTCTAGACAGGAAGACCCAGCTGATAGATACATACGTAATCATATATGATTATATTACAATGTGAGAAACATAGTACAATGATGGAATTATGCACAGAGAATCATTACAGCTCTGAGGAGGTGTTGAAAATATTCTCAGGGACACGTAAAGGAAGGCTTCCTAGCGATGATGAAGCCCAGCTGAGATCTTGGCTTACTCCAGTTCCTCAGACAAACTCTGCTCCTTTCACTTTCCAGCCTTTGTTCATGCTGTTTTCCCAGACTCAAAAGCTCTTCCTTCCCATTCCCCTGCCTTCCCCTTCACCAATGTAAGCATTGTTTCTCAGAGAAGGATCTCTTGACCTCCAAGTCTAGGCAAAGTTCCTCTGCTTTATGTGCTCATAGCACCAGTTCTCCTTCATAGCATGAGTCACAATTACAAGACAACTAATTGTGTCAACTTCATTCTTTGTCTTCTCCTATATCACATACACCCCGTGAGAGTGAGGACATGTTTAAGGTCATGGTTCATCAACATATCACCAGTTTCAAATACAATTCCTTGCATGTTGTAGGTGCTCAGCTAATAATTGTTAAATACATTGATAACTTAAAGCGTTAGGGAAAGATGTAAGATAGGAAGGGAGGGGGAAGGATGAGACTAAGACAGGAATGCTAGCCACAGAGAACACCATGAACCAAGGCCCGAGACAGCAAATGCCCTGAATGACATCTGCAGAACAAAGGCAGAATTTGGCATTACTGGACTAGAATGGTTAAGGCCAGAGCAGGGAGGGCCTTGCAGGTCATACTTGGAAGGAACAGTCACAATCTCATATAGCCCTGTGCATATATCTATCACTGTGAGCGCCTTCACTCAGTCAACAAATATCTATTGAGTAGCTACTATGTGCCAGATGATCTCCTAAGCACTGGAGATTCAATGAGTGTTTCTCTTTTGGAGCTTAAATTTTAGTAAAAGTTTCATTCTTGAGTCTTATTTATCTCAGGACCTGCACAGTACCGAGCAAAGTGTCTGACATGTAATAGGCACCTAAAATTTTTGATGGAAAAAAGAAGGAATAAAAGAACGAAGGTATTAAAATGGCAAGACAATCCCTGACATGAAGAGAATTGAAGAGAGAGGGTCAATCAGGAGCCAGCCTGGACTGGCCTTGCACTGCCTAGGCCCTACCCAGTTCCTCAGCCATAGGCCCCTGTGAGTCCTATGCCCAATCCCTATTTTCCCCTTTGTTCCTGCCCCACCTGCAGGGCCCCAGCTAAAGAAGGAAGCAGAGGCAGTGTTGGTTCCTTTGTTGCAGATGAAAAGCAGAGGAGAAAGTACCCTCATGTAGGCTGTCCAGGCTACAGAGAGGGAAATGGTCCCTGGTTTCTAAACTGGATCCTTGATTCCCCAAGACATACTGCTAGACATAGCATTAGGTTCTCTGGTACTACTATCATCCTCTAGACAGATTTTCAGCCAAGAAAAATTTTGAGGGTTACTTGGAGACCTAAACATTTTATATGACAATGTTCCTCAAACAAAATGCTTTTCTAATTTCTGGACTTATAGTCTTCCCAAAGCTAAATATAAACAGTAGCCTGTATTGCATGATCCCTATGTGTACACTTGGCCTAGGGAAAACACTTGAGGCAAAGGGTGTGCCTTCTTTGAATCCTCCCAGGAACCCTACCCAGGCCAGCACTTACTGCTGTGCCTTGCTCTTCAATGCCTGTTGAGTAAGAAACTGAAAACTGAATTTGGGTGTCTGCTTTGACCTTGCCCACAGAAGTTTTGGAAAGTTTTGACCATGGATGCAAATAGCCATCAGCATCATGCTGCCTCACACCCAAGGTTTCTATAATATATCATTAGCTCAAGAATTGCATCACAGACAACACCTTCCAGTCCATGGGACTCAGTCTGTTCAGGGAAGGCTATCTGTCATCTGGTGATGGCCCACAGCCCAGCCACAGTCTGGACTAGGAGCAGCTTAAATGACACCTGCTCACCCTGAGCAAAGGAACTTCTGCGTTTGGCTCCTGGCCCAGAGGGAGACTTTGCATGTTTGACTTTCTTGAGCTTTTTTCATGTCTACTTTTGTCTTCCACTAGCACACGGGTATTGTGGTTAGGAGAAAATCAAAACAGCCTTTGAGCATTTCATCTTAACGATTCCCTTTTCTGGCTTGAATTTTTTAATATCTTGCTACCTTTTTTCAGCCTTCACCACAGAATTTGACTGATGTATTCAACTCTCAACTTCCTCATGTTTTTGGGCATTGACATTGAGGTTCTTCATGTGCCTTTAGTGTTCAGCGTGTCCTTCCCCCCTAGTTTTGCTCAGTTTCCACCGTCAGAGCTGCATGTCCTTCCACAGTCTGCAGTCGCATCAGTAGACACGATGCCAATGGCTGGGCAAGTTAAGCTGCTCCTCTGCCCAGGACCTCAGTTGCAGAGGTTTCGGTCATATCTGCGTCATCTTCTCCATGTCTTGGATCTGTGTCCCTGTGAGCATCAGAGATCTCCCCCACCAGGACTTTGTAGATAATCATGTTCTTAATATCCACAAAGAAATCTGTGTTTCCTGCGTGAGGAAACACATAGGGCAAAGCAGCAGCCCATATCCATTTTCCCCAATTGTAGTATTAGGTAACATATTTGACCACTACATTTTGTAGCAGCTCATCCATTCAGAAGCCAGCTGTGGTTAGAATGCACTCTTAAAGAATAAGAAATTGCTTCCAGTCCTATGCATGCCATCAAATTGACCAAGGGTCAGATCCCCAGAGTATATGAAAGAAAGGCTCTCTTTTTAAAAGTTGCAAAAACTAAGTCAGGAAGAGGTGAAGATGAAATTCACACATCTGTCATCAGCATCATCAACATTACCATCATCTCCCTCATCTCTGTAATAAACAGTGGACTGGGACAGACAAGATTTCTACAAATATATATCTCAAAAATGTGCACAGATTTATCAAAACAAATCTATTAATATGAAATCATTTAATAAATAAATTACATGTAATTTTTATTTTGTATAAATAGAAAATAATTTCTCTTTGCTTAGACTTGTCTGGCTAAAAAATACCTTACATATATGAGTTTAGAAAAATCTCTTAACCTGGGTAAAATGAATATGAGCATTTCCTGTTCACAGACAACAAAACAGAGTCACAGATCGCCTCTCGGCCAAAGTTCCTGGGCTGGTGGTTGCCAGAGTCAGGACTAAACTCTTAGACTTCTAACCACGGACCAGGATTTTCTTTATTCTATCATGCTGCCATGAGCAGGAAGGGGATACAGAAATTTCACATTTAGAGCCTGGATTGAAGTGACATTTCATTTAGATGGAGAAGGCTTTTTAGAAGGGATGTGAGAAGTTCTCCAGAAGCTTGTTATTTTAAGACAATATATTTTCTTCAAACCAACAAGCAATATTTGAAGACTTTTTGTAAATGAAGTTCTGTGTTATGCCTGGTGGTAGCAGGAAGGGTTGTACAGGACTTTTCTCACTTGTTATATTCAATTTACATTTTAGTAAGACTTGGTAGTGAATTGTATAGCCAATTGCAAGGATAAATTTGAGTTGGTGTGACCTGAAATGCAGACAGATGATCTCTCTCTAAAGTTCAAAGTCACAATATCTAGGACTGACATCTGGAAATGTATGTAAGAACTCTCTAGCTCTGCATTCCCATCTGGCTAGTAGGTCACAGCTCTTCTAATATGAACCGCAGCTTCACAATCAGTATAAAAGTCTACAATTACAACCATTCTTTGGAATCCTCTAAGCAAAGGAGGACATTCCTTGGCTGGTTTAGGAAAACCAGTGCAGATTTGCACTGAGAAAGGAATGCAGTCTGGAAGAGGGGCTAATAGTGAACAGATTAGGACTTCTATTAGCTAAAAAGGGATAAGGAAAGGAGAGAAAAGGAACTTTTAAAACACAGCTTCACAAATGCTGTCAAGAGAAGTAGTATGAGTGAGATGATGGGGAAGTGGTAGAAGCAATGCATGGGAAATAATTAAATGGCAGAAAAGTTGGAATGAGGTGTTAGTAGCTGGCTGATGGATTGGAAGCTTAATCCTCATCCTTATGGTCTACATAGCAGTTGTAGCTTTCCAAGATGATTCAGTTCAACTGGTTAAAAAATAAAAAAGAGCCAAGGGTGTCAGGCAGGCAGGCAGGCACCATTTTCATCTTATAGCTGAAGACACTGAGTTCAAGGAGATTAAGCTTTTTATCCAGGGTCACGTAACTGGGGAGAGCCCAAAGCGGAGAAGCCATCTCCTGACATCTAGGCCTGACTTCTGGTTTCCTCTAGGTAACTGCCTCTCCACGGAGGAAAAAGGTCTTCACCCGGAACTCTTGGCGATGAACTGACCAAGTAAGGGATGAGGAGGAGGAGCTTCTCAAGAGTTCCTAGAGAAAGACGATGCCTGGGGAAGATAATGGCCAGTAGAGTTGGTGCCAGGGACTCTAGAAGGAAGAGGCTGGAGACATCCAAGAGAAATATGATCAGGAACTGGACTGAGACAGTGCTTGGAAGATGAGTGGGGAGACAGAAAGGAAAAGGCAAGCTCTGGAAGCTGACAAAGTATGGAAGGAAGGGCAATGGCCTGTGGAAAATAACTGAGACTTGCTGCCTGTGAGGCCAATGACATGCTGTCTTTGCCCACTGCTCCTGTCAGGTAAATCCATTCTCTCAGGGAGGAACTGCTTTACAATTTCAGCAGAGATGCCCAGCAGCTCAGTCATCATTTTTAAGCAGTGTGTTCATCTCACACCAGTGGGTGACATGTAAAGATGTGCGGTTCAAGGTGTGTCAGAGGCCAGGAGCACCCAGCAAACCTGACTGGGGTGTCAGAGGAGGGGCCCAGGGCCTGAATCTGTGCTCACCTCCTGGATATTCTGCTTTGCCCGGCTGTCAGAGGGATGCATGATGGTCCCCATCACTTTCATGTTGCCACAGACAACCAGGGCTTCGTCCGGCGCATCTGTGTTGATTCCTACTCGACCGTGACAGACAATAGATTCTGGAACTTGTCCTCGCTGCCACAATGCATCACTGTCATTTTCAAACTGCCCAGGGTTAGAGGCCTGGAAAAATACATAAATATATTACAATTAAAGTAACAGTAGCAGGAATAGATGATCACATTAGTGTTCAGAGCAAAGGCAAACTGAATATTATCTAAGTCTTTCATAAGAGAATCCTGTATTGAGTGGGACATTCTGACATATCCAAGTAATTCCGGGGCCCAGGAGAGCCAGGGAGGCTTCCCTAACCACTCTGCCTCCCCGCTAGCAGGAGCTCTGTATACCCTGATTTGAAACATCCAATCTCTATTGCATCTATCTGGAATTAAGAATGTGATCAGTTATACTAGGTGGATGATAAAGAAGAAAACTAAAAATGGCTATCTTTCCAGGAATAGTCATCATCATCATGATTTAAAATCAGAACATTATATCAGAAAATATTACAGGTGTACTAAAGTCAGATAAATAAAAATACCTTGCATTTAGCTAGCCCTATTATAGTTTCAAAATGCTTTTATATTTATGATTTCATACACAAGTGACAAGCAAATGATAATACAAATATATTTAATATACATCAACTATTCCCTAAACACAGAGGATACTGAAGGAAGAATAATAACAGCTACATTTGTTGTGCGATAATTCACAGTGCAATTATATGAGACACGTACTATTGTCCTCATTTTATTGACACTGACACTCTGAAAAGATAAATAAATTGCCCAAAGCCACAAAGCTAATAAGTTCTGGAGCTGGAACTACAAGTCCTCTGATTATTAAATAATGATTTGCCTGTTTCACGGCATTGCTTAGAAGTAGTCCTGGCAATCTTCAAAGAAAATCCAAGTGAAACCATTGGACTAGACAAAGTTCTGGAGATTTTACTCTTAAATAAAATTCTTTGTCAAAGAATGTTCCACTGCACTGCCTTCCTTCCTGCTTCCCTGTAGCCACTGAATATATTCCCAAATATTTTAAAGTAAGCATCTCTAAATCCCTCAAAATCCTCACAACAAAATTAATTTGTTTTTAAAATTATGATGTATTTTTATGATTGAGGCAGGCTGTCACAACTTTAGATAAACAGTTGTGATCCTGATTATCTAAAAAGTCAGTACTAATACTTGACTTTTTACCTTTCTGGTGGTATATGATACATTGCAGGCTCAGCACCTGAATATGCATAGATTTTCTCTGAAGACTACTCAGGAAACCAATAACAATGGTTTCCTCAAGGATGGAGCCTGGGAGATGGAGAAACAGTGGTAGGAGGGAGATTCACCTTTCACTATATACTCTCTTGGTATTGTTTGAGTGTTTTTGTCATATGCATTTGTTACAATTTTAAAAATAATTAAAAGAAACCACAAAGTTTATTTCTTAGTTTGGGTTTAAAGAACTTTTTGATGTCTTCAATTTCCTAATTCAATCCCAAGTGTCTGAACCCTGAGCTGCTTGGAAGACTCAACCATTGATACTTGATAAACAGAAGCAGTGAAAGAGGCCAGGTGTGTGGTGGCTCACACCTGTAATCCCAGCACTTTGGGAGGCTGAGGTGTGTGGATCACCTGAGGTCAGGAGTTCAAGACCAGCCTGGCCAACATGGTGAAGCCCCATCTCTACTAAAAATACAAAAATTAGCCATGTGTGGTGGCATGTTCCTATAGCCCCAGCTACTCAGGAGGCTGAGTCAGGAGGATCACTTTAACTCAGGAGGCAGGGGTTGCAGTGAGCTGAGATCATGCCACTGCACTCCAGCCTAGGGGACAGAGCAATACTCTGTCTCAAGAAAATTTAAAAAAAACAAAAAAAAACAGCAGTGAAAGAATGTAATGGGGTGGGAGGGTAGTGGGGAGTGGGGGAAGAGTATAAAGTAAAAACTTTGAACATTATTTTGTGTAAATTTACTTGAACAAAGAGCTTTTCTGCAAGTTCCCTAGAGCCCCTTGGTTGTGAATGGCAAATTGGCTTTGACTCAAATCCTTTTATAGCAACCAATCAACTAAATCCAAAGGTATGCCATATAAGATGGTGATGTATTTTTCTCTATTTTGAACATAATGAGCCACTTCAAGGAAACAAAATAAGACAGTGATGAATTTTTTCATAATGAGCTTTGGGATAGTTATTATCATGTTGGTAACTTGATACTGGAACAGCAGATATAAGTGGATTTAATTTTTTGGAACAATTGCAATACTCTCACTTAGCTCTCATCAGATGAAAACTCAAATCCCTAAAATATGTTCACATTATTTTGGAAAGGGCCACAGATTCACAACATTCTAAATATATAGCCCTAGGGAGAATTCCTCATCAGTAACAGGAAATGTTCTCATAAGATCTGTGAACTTATTTCCTTTCTCTGGAATCCACAACCTTCATGTGTGAAAGCAAGCCACAATATACTACCTCTTTCTGGAATTATGAGTTTGTATTCACATGTGACCCAATAGTGGCTGATGGATATCAAACACCAAAACAAATTAATTAAAATGTCTAAAATATTTTTATTGTTTGTGTCATATCCTCTTATTTAGGGAAGAGACCCGAGCATTCTAGTCTATGTTATAACACAAACTAGCTGTGTGACCTTGGGGCAGCCACTTAATCTTTCTCTGTACTGTGTCCTCCTCTGATGAATAAAGAATCATGTCTCCTTTACCCACCTCATAGGGTTATTGTGGGATTAAGTGAAATCATGTGTGCATGAACAGTTTGCAAAAATGAGGATGAAAAGTCTCAAAGTTATTCTCGACACACTCTCCTGGGCACAGCAGCAGCTATTTAACCTATAATTGCTTCATCTGCTCTCCTCAGCAACGCACCTGCAGAGTTGCACAATTCCAGGGGGACGCCTTTCATAAAAAATACAATGTAAATGGCGCCCCCTGCAGGTTATTGGAATAGAAAACAGCATCAGCAGCAATTTGAAGGCTATGCTGAGTTAGAAGTGAAAAGCTGGAATTTGTTTTACCATCGTTTGGGATTCGAAAGCAGCAGCCAATGAACTAATAGAAGAGCTTGACCTGAGGAAGGCAGCTCTTAGGAAGTCCATTTTTGCACCTTTTGAGAGGGTTACAGAAAAAGGACCTAGAAATACTCTCTGCTGGTGCTACTCAAAGCATGGTCTGCAGGCTAGCAATATCAGCATCTCCTGGAAGCCTGTTAGAAATGCATATTCTCAGGCATCCCTGACCTACTGAATCAAAAACACAGGTATCTGTGTTCTTACAAGCTCTCTGGGGATTCTTATTCATAATACAAGCTTGAGAACTACTTCTTTATGCCATGTACTCCTGGTCGTAAGTTGCCCTTCTGTAGTTGACAGAAAGATCTGTTGAGTCCAAAACAGGCATTACTCCATAAACTGTTTTCTTTGAGTAAACAAACATTCATCTGAACTCCAAAAGAGGAATGCGTGTGTCTGTGTTTGTGTGTGTTTGCATGTGTACACATATGCATTATTATATCATCTTCCCTAACCCTAGGTTTGGTTTCCCATGTCACGCACTGTGATTTGCAGAGCAGTAGAGGAAGAATTCTTGGGGACATGACCATTTCTATTCTTCTGGAAAAGAAACTGGAATAATCTATTGGTTTTCAAAATGAGGAAACCCTAGAGTGTCTTTGAAAGGCAGACAAAAGTAATCATCCCTCCTGCTTGCAACACTGCACTCCAAACCAGGTTTAATTAAGTATTTTAGAAGGAAAGTGGGGCTGAGATAGAACAGCCCAGTCATTAACAAGGGGAAACTGAAGGAACTCCACTGGGAAATGCTCCCAGAAACAAAGACTCTGCAAATAAATCTGTTCTTTGGAGTAAGCCTTAATTTTCATTAAATTGGTCAATTTATACTACAGGACCATAATATACTTCTAAAGCTGTTTTGATTGACAACCCAGATGAATAATTACTGGGTCCTGCCCACCATTCTCTCTCCAAGCAGAATTCTGACAAGCTTGGTCAGAATTCTGGACCCTTCCTGGAGACCTGGAACTCATCTAGGTCTAACCCTCATACAATCACCCTTACCAAATAGTAAAATGCCAATCTCTGCCATTAGGACAAGTGGTTCTTAGGCCACAGAACAAGTCTGGATTTGCTTAAATGCAGTTTTCATTTCTCCATTTAATGTAGTCAGGGCTTGTAGTGTCTTTGTCAAATTTTTCTTCCCATTCTTCATTCCGGAGCTTAAACTAACAGAACCAGGCCATGGCCTAAGAGGCCACATCTGGCTCTTTTGTAGAATGTTGGCTGGTCTGCCCTCTGCCCAACCCATTTGTATGCACCTGTATAGGCCCCTCTAGAATCTCAGGTGGCAAAAAATGTATTCTGTGGACATTTCTAAAACTCACTAATTCAAACAATAATGCCATTTCTTAAACAATTAAATAAACCAAAAAGTCTGCATTCATTTTCACTTCTGTGTTTCAGAGTTTGAATGAAATAATAATAAGATATTTCTAGTGGGGGGATGAATGGTTGATGTTAGTAATCCTTATCTTCTCAATGCTGTTAGGGTAACTTTTGTGTTATACAGCACACTTGTAGAATAGGGTATTCTCTCTAACCAAAATTGTGTCTGGGAGAAGACTATCAGATCTGGAATACAATCATTTTTTGAAATAAAAATTTAGTGAATAGCATGACACCCAAACTATGCTGAGTAAATTTAATATTTTTGGTACTCACACCGAATACGAATCATGGAACTTTCGACTTCTCAAAGTCATCATTATGATCTCATTATCATTGTGCTTTGGATTTGAGGAGGTGCCAATTAACAGAGAGTTTTTGGTAAACAGAATGCTAGAGAGTGGAGCTCCCTCCCTCTCATGTTGCTGTTGTGTGGACTTGTACAGCAGCTGCGTATAGCTTTGCAGGAGCTGTCAGCAGCAAATGGAGAAACCTTGTCACTAGGTAAATTATTCCAAGTATGCAGGTGACTAGCAGACTATCTGTCTGAAGCATAAGTTATACAGCTCCGGAGAGTACTGTCATGATATCTTAGCTATGCTAACTCTGAAAAGAATGGCATTATCTGTCTCTATTCCTTCCTAAGAGAAACAATATGCAACCTGGGTTTCCAGACTTTACTTTAAATCAGATTTGTCAGCACAGCAAGGCAATTCCAGATTACATCAAATAAGATGTCAAAGATGGCCCTGGCCCCTGCAGAGGGATGGACAGGCACCTCTGTATTGGCTTATGACGCAAGGAGAGGGCCCCACCTGCCTCTGCCCCAGATGATCCTCATTTGCTGCATGTTATGTCAGAACCCACAAAAATGCAGCCTGGGGTGTGCATGTCCTTCCCTAACCCTGGGATTGCTGAACACATACGTGTTTTACCTCATTTCTATCATCACTTCATCTCCATTACAACGTTGAGACATAGTTAAAGGATTTCCACTAATAGGAGGCTTATTAATTTTAATTGACAAAAGGAATTACAGAGGTCCCTTTGTTTCAGAACAGTTCAACACGGGCAAGGAGAGATGCCATTTCCCCAAATGGGCAGATCTTCTTTTCTTCCTCAGGGCCTCAGGTTAACAGCCACATACATGGGCAGGCCCACAGTGAACATTGTTCTCTATTGGAGTTTGCATGGCCTCCCTGTATCACTTCAAAGATCCATAACAACACAGCCCCTCCCAGGGCTTCCAGGCCTGTGGCTACCTGTTACTTCATGCCTCTGGTATTTTCAGTGGTGGCCAGCCTGAACTCACACAGCTGCAGCTGCAGCCACCAACAGCTTTATGTTTTGTGCCTGCCAAGACTCCGCTGCACAGCTGTGACCAATCATTCATTCAGCAAAATGTGCTGAACCAGCCATTCCCATGTGCTAGACAGTAGCCCAGATGCCCTGGTGCTACCAATCACATTTGGCCTGGAATGCTTTCCTACCACTTTCCCCACCCTGTGGGCTTTAGGGTCAGAGAGATCCAGGCTCCATCATTTACAATTCATGAGATCATGGATTAGTTACTTAGTCTCTTAAGCCTCAGTTGCTCTGGGTATAAATAATGTAATGTGAAAGTATAACAATGTAAAATGATGTCATATATAAATTGTTTAGCTCAGTGCCTAGAACATAGAGTAAAAACCAGAGTCTCTCAACCTCAACACCACTGACATTTTGGGAGGTATAATGTTTTGTTGTGGAGGTTGTCCTGTGCATTGTAAGGTACTGAGCAGAATGCCTGGTCTCTACCCACTAGATGCCAGCTGTGACAACCAAAAATGTCTCCAGACATTGCCAAGTGACCCTTGGAGAACAAAATTGCCCTTGGTTGTGAACCACTGTGTGAAAACTAAAATAATAGTTTCTGCCATTACTATCATTATCATCGAAATAGCATATTCAAGCACACCATTGAAAATTCAAATTCTGCCTACATAGGAGGAAAGCATGTGAGATCCAGAAAAGTCAGAGAACTGAGCTTACCCTTACAATGATCCTTTCAGAGATGTGGGCAGACAACAGATAGAACTGGTCTTGGTTAGCAGCATACAGTCCAACCACCAACATGAAGTATCTAATTCAGAGACAGCAGACCAATGCCAATGCATCAGGAATGGAGACACAATTTGTACAAACAAATACCACCCAACAGTTGATCAATAGTGAACTTATCGAGAAGAGTTTGCTTATTTAAAGACTGCCTTTTCCCTTCTGTTCTAAGTTGTCCCCCCAGTGAAACAAGAGAGTAGTTGATTCACTTGCTATTGTTATGGGTCAGCTCTTTGCCCAGTTGGTGGTATCTGTGAGCTGTTTTACATGCCCCAAAAGAGCAGGAAAGCAGGCCACCCTGCGGAGACATCCCAGGAGGGGTCTGGAGTCAGCCTATCTGTGCTGATTCAGCACAGGCCTCTCTACGCTGCAGTCCTGAGCCCTCAGCACAGCATGGCTCACAAATACAACAGGAAGCCACCTTAAAGGTCCCTTTGTTCAGAGCCCCAGAAGCCACATGGCCTGGGCCTTAATGGAGACTGACTCCTAGGGTCTGCCCCACCACACTGGATCCTTCCCAGTTCAGCCTGCTCTTGGCCATATATCCTGTGCCTTCAACAACCTCTGGGCTTGACTTTAGCCAAAGACTGAGACCTCCCCTTCAATTGCTTCCAAGGCAATTTTCATCACTGTTATTTCAATTCCTCTTCATACGTACCACTGATGAGACAGTTTTAAGACTAGACCACTTCTTAAAAGTCAAAATTAAAACTATCCTCATCAAAGAAGCTTTTGCCCAAGAACTGCATGAAAAAACTTCACCAGCTTCCTCTGTAACATTCCTATTCTCTTAGAGAACAAGAGTTTCCCTCTGCATCTAAAGTAAATCAGTAAGAGTAGTAACCGTTATCATTATTATTATTAGTTACTGTCAAGAGCTCAGTGTGTCATATACCGGGCTAAGCAGTTTACCTACATTAGTCTACTTAGAGCACCAAAACAACTTCATTGGAGTAGAATATTGTTATTGTCTCTATTTTGTAGGACAGGAAAATGAGTCTCAGAGAGGTTAAGTTATATGCCCAAGGTCACCCGCCTAGTAAATGCCAGTATCAAATAGTCAAATTCAATTCTATCCAACTCCAAAACCTATGTTCTAAAAGCAGCAGTTCTCAAACTTGAGTATGTATCAGTGTCACCTGGAGGGTTTGTTAAAATACAAATTGCTAAGCCCCATCCCCAGAGTTTTTGATTCAGAGTTTTTGATTCTTCAGTAAGGCCCGAGAACTCGCATTTTTAATGAGTTTCCATCTCTGCTAGTCCCGGAACCACACTTTGAAAACCACAGGTCTAAATCATGAAAACAAGTTATTTTCTTTTTTAATCAAAAAGGTCATAGCAGAACTTCAAGACTAGAGATCAGCACACTGGTTGAGAAATGCAGCCAGCCCTCAATCTGTGGATGGCAATGAGATATAAACATGTGGTCACTCTAGAAAAACATGGAGGCAATCGAGCCAGGCAGAGACAGGGCAGGGCAGGAAAGTGGGCATTGCAGGGCATGGGGTTGGGAGAAGAAAGATGTCCACAGGTAAAGGAGAAATGTTAATAAACTGAGAGTCAGAGAAGGGAGGAAAGTGGCTTAGAGGCCCTGTGTTCTGGCTGGTAGCACCAGGAAGATCAGAGGGGCCCCAGGAGGGCACTTCCTGGCCAGATAAAGTACCCAGCCACACTGCCATGCACACAGTGACATCAGTACCTCTGGTCTGGATTTGGTTTTCCCTTTTTTCTCATATTATTTGCTGTGGTTTCGCTGAAGTGTAATCGTCCCAGTGTTACTTTGGTGACCTGGTCAGCCAGTAGGTCAATTCTAAAACAAACAGCAAAAAAAAAAAACCAAGAGACTATAAGAGAACACCAAATCTCTGATCATATCTAATCCACTTTCAGACTCTCATCTATGCTTGGTTCCCAGTTCTCACCACACTGAGAGAACAGTTTATTCTAGTCCCCGATTATTAACTGCTATCCACAGCATGGTCAGGAATAGCTGCCAGGAAGGCCATGGAATATCTTGAAGGGTAAGAAATGCTCAGTCAGTAAAAGCTGAAGCCTGGAGTTTTCAACTCACAAGGGCCATATGCTCCATATACCCAGCATGGGTCCTTTTACCTCCACAATGGGGAAAGAAAACCTTTCATTTGTGCTGCCGCCACTGTTGTGATAGCACTCACCTCCTGACTGAAGCATGAATGCCTTTGCATCCCCTTCACATATTTGCCTCTCTTAGCCTAGCAGTGGGAGGCAGCTTCCTCCAAAGGAAGGCCACAAACACCCTGCCCAGACAAGGGAGAACCAGATGCACCACGCACATTTAGTGCGGTGTTTGTACAAGTGGCTTCTGGACTGTCCAGGCCATGAAATCATCTTCTTCTCAGCCCAAAGGGGATTGATTCAGGGTCAAAACCCTGAGATGTCTCCACTGCATCCCTGCCAAACCAGTCAGAAAGCAAATCCCATTCATTCTAAGTCATCCTACAGAGAGGACTCTAGCTTGGACTGCCATATTGCTTTGCATACTACCAGCTATATATGCTTTCTATACTGGAATCCATTCAGCAAGCTATCAACATGGCTTTAAAGAATAAGGAAAAATGACTTCTAAGTACAGCATGGATATACAATCTCAAAACTAATTCAATCAACATCATGCTGATTTAAATGAAAAATTAAAAGAAAGATCTAGCCATAATTTATTTCAAGGAACTAAAGTTGTTAGTAAGGTTGTTAGCAAAGTTTTTAGCAATAAACAATATGAAAATAACAGTGGCTTTAAAAATGGATCGTTTTATAAAGAATTTTTGCAACAGTTTCAATGCATAGTACAACTCTGCTTTGTTGATAAACATATATTCATAATATTAACATTAATACTACATTAATGGCAGGGCACTGTGGCTCACGCCTGTAATCCCAGCACCTTGGGAGGCTGAGCCAGGCAGATCACCTGAGTTCAGGAATTCAAGACCAGCCTGGCCAACACGATGAAACCCCATCTCTACTAAAGATACAAAAAATTAGCCAGGCATGGTGGCTCATGCCTGTAATCCCAGCTACTCTGGAGGCTGAGGCAGGAGAATCCCTTGAACCCAAGAGTTGGAGGTTGCAGTGAGCCCAGAGCACGCCACTGCACTCCAACCTGGGCAACAAGAGCAAAATTCTTTCTCAAAAAAAAAAAAAAAAAAAAAAAATTAACATTATTAATTTGGATTCTATGGTAGGTTTCATTTTAAATAAGCAAAATATATTAGATAATAAATAAAATTATATATATATAAAAAACAAAGTAGGTGTTTATTCACAAAACATTCACAAAGGAATTCAGAAAATAAATTCTTACTTAACAGGATTGAAAATCTTTTTGCTCCTATCTGCTTGGGACTGTTCAATAGCAATTATTTGATTGGTAGCTTCCACCTGTATGAAACAACAAAAAGTAAACTAATTAATTAATTAATTAAAATGTTAATCAGCAAAGAATGTTCAAGTACTTAAAAAGCTTTTCAAGGCATCATCCTAGGCACTGGGCAGGAGGAACAAGTCACTGAAAAGACACATAAGACAATAGTCCCTACCTTAACGTGGTATTCTGTTGATGAGGAAAGAAATAAATACCTGTGAAATTAAACAATGAGAACACAAGACAACAGAGTATTTCAGGTAGGCAGTGAATACAGAGAGGGCTGGAAGATGGCTGAAACATCAGGAGTAAGGCAGCTCCTTATTTATTCATTCATTCTAGAAGTACTTATGGAGCACCCACTATGTACGAGGAACTGCTTTAGGCATTAGAGATAAGAACTGAACACAATTAACAAAATTTCCTGTCCTTGGGGAGCTTACATTCATTCTACTATGAAGAAACAATGATATACAATATAATAAACAAATCATAAGAATTAACATTTATTCAGCATCTGCTACAAACTCTTCTTGTTCTGTGAATATTGGAAAAGACTTGTGAGATCAGCCCTGTAATATACAACTGGTGGGTATTCACATTGTAACAAATCTTTCTAGAAAGCAACTGGTGGCCTACATCAAGAGTTTTAATAATATGTATCTTTCATGTGTAAATTCCCCTTCTGGAATGTATCCTTATGCAAAGGTGGGTGGATGTTCACTGAAGTTTTATTAACAATAAAAAATGGAAAATAAACAAAACTTCTAATAATAAGGGAATTAATATGATGCATCCATACAATGGAAAACTATATTATCTTTGTGAACAATATTTTTATGGGGTCCTTACTAATATCATATAATGTGATGTCCACAATATATTACTAGCAATATGAGATTAATTTTAATAACAGAAGAAAAGAGAAAAAATAGGCTACCAAATGGTGGATCCCAAATACAAATGAATTTCATCTCTTTTTCATACATTTCTATTATGTTCCAAAATTTTCACAATGAACTTATATTACATTCATAATCATACAAAGAATGTCTTTTTGTTGCTTGTTTGTTTGATGTTTATATGTATTTTGGTTTTTGTTTTGTTTTGTTTTTAAGAGCTCAGTTTGGTGCAAGAACAGTTATGTGTGCAGCAGCCAAGCCTTAGTGCCTAAGCCCAGGTTAGCTATCAGAATAAAATATGTAGGCCAGGCACAATGGCTCATGCCTGTAATTCCAACACTTTGGGAGGCAGAAGCAGGAGGATTGCTTGAGCCCAGGAAGTTGAGGCTGTAGTGAGCTGTGATAAAGCCACTGCACTCCAGTCTAGGCGACAGAGCGAAACCCTGTCTTAAAGAAAACAAAACAACAACAAAAACAACAAAATAGGCAGATAATGAATGCTTCTCCCTCTTAGGAACTGGATATGAAGTTACAATTTAAGAAATACTTTTTGATCACTCAGAAGTCATATTACCTCCATTCTGAACCGAGCTCTATCATTTACTACCTTGGATGAATTGTGTAACCTTATTGGCCCTCAGTCTCCCCTCTGTTAAACTGTACAGGAGGGCGTTGACTAAATTAGTGGCTCCTTGGCTTTTTTTAGGTCACAGATCTCTTTGATAATTTGATGAAAATAATGAATCTACTTCATATGAAAATGCATCAACATCAATAAAAATAAAATAATTAAGAATACATTTAGTAAAAGAATTGCAAGAGTATTCACTGAAAACTATAAAACTATCATTTGAATGATGCCGTGCCATTTTCTGAGCCCAGGCTTACGAAATCGACATCTTGGCTGGATATGGTAGCTCATGCCTGTTATCCCAGCACTTTGGGAGACTGAGGCAGGAGGCTCACTTGAGCCCAGGAATTGAAGCCCAGCCCAGGCAACATAGTGAGACCCCATCTCTACAAACACAGCCAGCATGGTGGCACACACCTGTGGTCCCAGCTATTTGGGAGGCTCCCACTTGAGCCTGGGAGGTCAAGGCTGCAATGAGGCATAATCATGCTGCTGTGCTCCAGCCTGGGTGACAGAGCAAGACCATGTCTCAAAGAAAAAAAGAAAGAAAGAACGAACGAACGAAAGAAAGAAAGAAAGAAAGAAAGAAAGAAAGAAAGAAAGAAAGAAAAAGAAAGGAAGGAGGAAAGAAAGAAAGAAAGAGAAAGAAAGAAAGAAAGAAAGAAAGAAAGAAAGAAAGAAAGAAATTGACACCTTTCACTTAACTTGTCTTGCAATGTTTATCCTTAGAAGCCAGCCACCATGGTGTGAAGAAACACAAGCTATCCCATAGAGCAGTTCACATGGAGAAGAGCTAAGCCCTGTCAGTTAGAGCCCCATTTGAGCTCCAGCTGATGGCCAGCCCAAACTCAACAGGCATCTGAGTGCTTCTTGAAAATGGCCCAGTTAAGCTGCCCCAGTTGATGACTTCTGAACAAAGATGAGTTGTCATAGTCACACGCTGACCCAGTTGCAGATTTGTGACCAAAATAAAGGACTGTTATTATTTTAAGTCATTTTGGGATAGTTTGTCATGCAGCAATAGACAACTGAAACAAAATAAATGTTGACTGATATAAACTGAACTAAATAAAAGACATACCTTAGTGCCAAAAACTTTCAAGTAAAACATTTCTATTGGCTTTAGGCCCATCTCGGTTTCAACAAATTTTGGACTTCCCCAAACTTGGATGTGAATGGTTATCTGGAAATGATTCTTCTTTTGGCAAACAAAAGCTTCATCTGCTGGTGAAAAATTAAATCCTTTGTCTGTTACAACTCGATAGCCCACATCAGGTCTATGAAAAGAGAAACCAAGAAACCAGTTTTACAAATGTTTCCATATATTTATTTTCATTAACAGTATTAGTTGTATAAACATTTCAAGAAAACGTACTGTGAAAAGTGCCTTTTGCTATATTTAATCAATTGATTTCTTGAATTTTTAATGAGGAAATAAAAATAACATTTCAAAACACAGCTGGCTGTTTCCCAGCTTTTTATTTTCTCACAAAGAAGTACAATCTTTCTTTTTTTGAGACAGTCTTGCTCTGTCCCCTAAGCTGGAGTGCAGTAGCACCAACTTGGCTCACTGCAACCCCAGCCTCCTGGGTCCAAGCAATTCTCCTGCCTCAACCTCCTGAGTAAGCTGGGACTACAGGTGCACACCACCACGCCCGGCTAATTTTTGTATTTTTAGTAGAGACAGGGTTTCGCCATGTTGGCCAGGCTGGGTTTCAAACTCCTGACCTCAAGTGATCCCAACCACCTCAGCACCCCAAAGTGCTAGGATTACAGGTGTGAGCTACCACACCCGGCCAGAAGTACAATTCTTGCCAAATGAAAGCATTATTTTTTTCAGATTGCCTTTCCCCTTTGTGTTTTTTAGACTTTTAATTTGACTCCACAACACAATAGAAATATGTAGGCTAGATGTTGAGAAGTCAACACATTACTTAGACTTGTGAAATATCTGGGGTGGAATTAATCTCTTTTCTCCTTTAGGAAAAAAAAGTCTCAAAATTTCACCAGCAACACCATATTTAAAAAGTCACTTGGATGAAAGAATATTCAGCCTATTGATGATCACATGAAAAAGCAGACTTAGCAGAATTACCAGAAATTCTCTTAAATCAACCAGAGCCAGTTATACAATCGATTGGAAACCTGTTTTCACTAGAGTATGGTCATTTCCTTTTTATTCTCCCAATTTGGTAATAGCACTGAAAACCTACAATGGTGGTTACTTCTGCAGAAAGAAATGGGATAGTGGCAGGGTGGCTAATCAAATTTTTGCTTTATTGGTTTTATCATTGCTATTTCTAATAGCAATGCTTTGTGTATATAAATTGAGCATCCCAAATCTGAAAATCCCAAATCTGAAGTGCTCCAAGATCCTAAACTTTTTTTTTTTGAGACAGAGTCTCGCTCTGTCGCCCAGGTGGAGTGCAGTGGCGTGATCTCAGCTCACTGCGACCTCCGCCTCCCGGGTTCAAGCAATTCTCCCTGTCTCTGCCTCCTGAGTAGCTGGGATTACAGGCTCCAGCTACCATGCCCAACCAATTTTTGTATTTTTTTAGTAAAGATGGGGTTTCGCCATGTTGGCCAGACTGGTCTTGAACTCCTGACCTCAGGTGATCTGCGGCCTTGGCCTCCCAGAGTGCTGGGATTACAGGCGTGAGCCACTGCGCCCAGCCGATCCAAAATTTTTGAACACCTACATGATGCTCAAAAGAAATGCTCACTGGAGCATTTCAGATTTCAGATTTTTGGATTAGGGTAAGTATAATACAATCTTCCAAAATCCAAAAAAGTTCCCAAATCAGAAATACTTCTGATCTCAAACATTTCAGATAAGGAATACTCAAACTGTAATAGGCTTAATAAAACAATTCTAAAATGTTAATAAAAAGAAAACATATTAAATGCATAACATTATCAAATAGAGAACATAAAAGTTGAAAACTTCTTTGATGAATTTTTCCCATGCATGATGAAAATATGCGGCAGGATTTCTAATTCATCAAGCTTCCTAAATGTGGGTTTCTTCTCAAGAAAGAAGCTCTCTGCAAGCAGAGGAGGGCATTACTCACTGCTCTACTACTGTACAGATCTATGCATCCTGGGATCTCAATTTGGATGGCTGCTATTATAATGAATAACACAAGAGTTTCTAAATTTTCCTCTAATTCCAGAAACAGAAAAAATTAATGGGTCTCTTGGGAGAAGAGTGTTCATGTTCTTTGCACCTTCCCAATGGATCAAGTTACTGAGTCATTGACTACCCTTAAGAAGCCAATCAGTCAAAGGCTCCACAATCACAGTGCCTACCAGCAGCAAAAAGAAAATCCACTGAATGAAGAATTTGATAAAGACTACACATCTTATGCCATCTGGAAACTGCTTATTGACTCAAGTTTCTAGAATTAATCTGCTAATTTGTTCATCTAAAGGCTAGATGGGTAGAATTATGTAGATTTTACTACAGAGGGTAATAAGAACCGTCTTAGTTGAGAATAAAACATTTTTGGTGATGTTTTATGCTTCACTGTCAAAAACTCTGAAGAAAAAAAGTACAGCTAAGATATGAGCGTTAGGCTGAAATTTAGGGCAGCAATAATCAGAAACGGAATCAATCAGTAAGAGTTATACTGTTGATGATTATTCTGAACCTTAAACACCAATCTCTGATTATAGAAATCTGCTTACCTAAGAATGGCGATTCTGCTTCTGATATCAAAAGTTAAGTATAAAGTCAATTAAACTGGCTTTTTAAAAGTTCTTTGATAGCATTGAAACATAATTCAGAAAAAAATTGATAAAATTTTAATGCCCTAACTGAACTGTTTTTAGGTTACTTAAGAAAATGATATTTTTGTAACAAATTAGACCTAACTATATAAGAAAAGATGGGTGTTTTTCTGTCTCATTGATATAAATAGTGAAATTAGGAGGGCCTGAATTCTAAACTGGGTAAATATTGCCTTCCTTTTTTGCTTAGGAAAAGTGAATTATGGCTAAATACTCAACATAAATCTGCCTCATTACTTTTGAGTTGATACCATCTGTGTTCTCCTTTGTTTCCATATACTCTGTGTTCTCCATATTTTTCTAGATTATTGGAGCCAAGATAGGCTGTTCAAACAAACTTAAAAATGTTTTCAAATAAGAAGAGGGATAACACTTACCTTGAAAACTTGATCAACTTGATGCATAGAGCCTGGGAAGCAGTTAAGTTTTAATTAAAGCATTGAGCCTGCGTGTGACAGTTTCATACCTCGGTGCTCATATTTCTTACAAAACATGGAATGTTCCCCAAAAGATAATCTAAGGAAGGCCAAGCCTCAAAGCCAAAACCCATGGACCCCTCATTTCTTTTTCTAATTGCACACAGTAGAAAAGACACAAAGTCATGACATTTCAATGATACAATGAGCAATGAGCTTCCTTTAGCTTATTAAACACACCAACTCCCAAAGTCTGTTTAACTCCCTAGATTTTCTTTTAAGGAAAATATTTCTTCCCTCTAGTACATCCACCATGAAAGTCCTAGTGATAAGCTTTACAGTATTTGAATTTGGAAAATTTTAAAATTTGAATTTGGAAAATTTTAACTTAAGTTATAGCCCAATGAAAATTCTAGAAGGCTTAAGTAGGTAAATTACATGCTAAGAAATAAAGAAGTCTAAAGGATGTTTAAGAGTAATAATATAGGATTGCACATTTATTTCTTGAAACTATCTTATGTCATAAAAATTGGGTGAAGCTTTTCCACTTTTTTAGGATGTTTTGTATGATTTGACTTCAGACTCCTTAACATAAAGAAACCATCTACCACGATTGCTGCAGGATATATTGTCAGTGAACTTGGTAATATTCATTCACAGCATATACGTGGGGGGTGGTCATTGGCTCACAATTTAATGTGGCCCCCAGAAAAGTATTTTATGGCATTATAAGTTAACTGCAGGATTAAGTGTTAGTGATTTGGGGAATGTTTATATTCCAGTTTTTAGTTTAAACTGGGCATGTGATCCCAGAAAGATTCCTTCTTTCTCCATCATTTAGTGGTTAAATTATAATCAGGTGGAACTATAAGTCTGGCTTTCTGAAGGCCAGAAACCCATATTCCAACTATTTATTTGTTAGGATGTAAAAAATGAGGAGTAAGACAGACACTTTCTCACTGATTTGCCCCACTTGACCAGAGGTGACATCAAAGCTCCAGTGCTTGAACTCAGTACTGAGATTTAGCACTGTCTTTCTCCCCTCACTCTCCAGCCCACTCAAGCCACTTACAGTTTTTCATAATGACTGTTTAATAAGCTGTGCCAAGGAACACTATGGCATGGTTGCCACTTCAGAGCAGGAGAGCACTGGTCTGTAGGCATTCTGTTCTGTCCCTCACTGTCAGGGTCCTGGACTTCACTGCTGCGACTCCTACTTGTCACTGCAAAGAAACAGGTGCGTCAGAGCCTTCCTTCCAGGCTGTTTTTCCTAAACTCACAGCTAGCAGCATGAAGCTGATGAGTGGGCCATGTGTAAGGCAGAGTGACTAGGGAAGTGTCATGTGCTGGGGGTAGGAGGTGTGTTGCTGACCTCATTTTCTCATCTGTGAAAGGAGCAGCCTGGGGTCAGCGTTGTCAAAGGGTGGGGGGTAAACACCTGTTGGAAACTTTGTCCCTGATATCTATCTACCCTACATCCTGCATAGCTTCTCCTCACTTTCAGTCTGTGTGGTTGCAGTGAAGTTCATTCCCAGAGCCGGGAGGATAGGTGACCCAGCTCAATCAACCAAAGTACAGCATTCAGTCCTTGCATCAGTAATTGCATCAGTGGTGGACATGTGGCCTATCCCAATTCAAGCAGAGTGGATCTCAGCACTTCAGGGATGCTCACTCTTCTCCATGAGGTTTGAACCTGCAAGATACATCGCCAACAGCTGCTGGCACCATTTTCGGACATGAGGGAAAAGCCCATCTGGGAATGATGCCAGCACAGCAGAAGGCAGAGTTAAAAATGAAGGGCACCAGTCCTCATGGTGTCATCTGAGTTCTGGGACCCAATTCTAAACCCTCGCGTTAACAGGAGCCAATAGTTCCCCTAATTTTGTTTTTTGCCTGTTTTGTTATTGTTGTTTTATTTTGCTTTTTTTGCACAAGGCAGTTTGAGGGTTTGCTTTTTTTTGAATTTTGGTTTGTTTTTGTTCATTGCAACCAGTATATTTTAATTTTGGCAGGTCTTTTGTGGCTCCAAGATTCTGTGGTCTAATTAGCTTTTTGAACTTAGACCAGTTATTTATTCACTTGGAGTCTTACTTCCCTCAACTGCAAAATAGAAATTAAAAACATGTATCCTGCCATCTTTACACATTACAGCATTACACAAGCAGAGAGAATGACATAATGGAAGTGAAAGCACTTTCAGAAGCTAGAACCAAGATAAAGTAACAGAGAAAATCTTGTTAGTGTGCAATATCAACTGTAGAAAACTGCCACTTTTCTATGTCAAAAATGGTCAAATAACAGCAATTTCACATGTGCAACCTCCTATTTTGCATAATCCTTGCAACTTGTCTTAATTTGAGTATGCCTCCTAAACCATATGGATTCAACCTCAGATAATTTTTATGTAAAATGGTATTGGTATGGTTGCTGTTCCCTTTTCTTTTAACTCCTCTACCATCACTCATGCCTGGCATCAGGAGGGAATGGGAAATAGTGGGTGTTTGTGAGACCAGGTGCGGCTCTCAGTAACAATGTACAAATAGGACATTAGCTCCTATTGAATGTATCCACCTAGCCCACAGCTTGGAGAATGCAGGAGAAAGGAGCTGGGTTGTTTTTTCATCTTCAAACTTTTCCTTTCTTTATACTTCCATTGAGGACTTCCTAAAATAAATAAATAGAGCTGCTTCAAGTTGCTTTTCATACCAAATGTAAAAAAAAAAAGTATTTCTCTTGGGGTATTGCTATTAAATGTCACTTAAGCAAAATATGCATTTTTTGTTTTTATAAAATGCCCATTTTAGAAAGATTTCTCAAAACACTGAAAAACTTTTTTTCCCAGCTACAAATACAGGAAGTGGACAATGCAAGGAGCTCTTCGTGCTCTCACTCCTCCAAAAGCTAAGTGGTCTAAAATATTTTTTTTTAAAAAAAAGAAAGAAACCCTTCTATGGTTATCCTGCTTACACCAAATTGAGAGAAAGAGAGAACATAATTCTTCCTTTTTTTTCTTCCTCTCTCCTACAATGAAGAAAGGGTCAAGAGCTTGGAGTTTTGAATCAAGACAGATCTGGGTTTGAATCACAACTCTACACTTAAGGGCCAAGCAATCTTACAAAAATGATTTAAGCTCTCTGAGCTTCAGTTTTTTCATCTGCAAAATGGGAGTAATCATGTTACCTTCCAGAGTTGTTGAAGGGTTTCAATGAGGCCATGACTGTAAAACGCAGAGCACAGTGTCTACCACTGGTAAGAGTTTAAACAATGGTGCCTTCAGCTATTACTAGTGGCACTGTCATTATCACTGTACTTGTTTCAACTTAGGTGGCTCAGTATTTCCTAAGAAGCCTTGGGAAATACTCCTGTTGTTGGCCTCCATGGTAGCTCTATCGAATGTGAAATAACTAGCCCATGTTCCTGACTGAATACTGGCTAAATCATGCCCTTTCCCACTCAAGCGTGGCAGCAAGGTCAATGTTCTCAGGCATGCAGCCAAAAGCCAGCTCCACTTCTCCAGACACTGACAGGGAGGGTGGACAGGGGCAGGGAGGATTGTCCTCAAAGACAACAGCATTTCCTGCCCTTTGTCATCACAACAGTAAGGGTATCACAGCAGCTGCTCCAATAGGGGTGACACAGTTGTGGCTTCCCTGGGAGATGGCTATAAGCTGG